>NC_000004.12:181042593-181345623 GCF_000001405.40 Homo sapiens
TTGCCTCAGCCTCCCAAGTAGCTGGGATTACAGGTGCACACCACCATGCCCATCGAATTTTTGTATTTTTAGTAGAGATGGGGTTTCACCATGTTGGCCAGGATGGTCTTGATCTCCTGACCTCGTGATCTGCCCACCTTGGCCCCCCAAAGTGCTGGGATTACAGGCATAAACCACCACGTCTGGCCTCACAGCAATTTTTAAATCTCCAACTCTTTAACTCTCTTTTAGTTTTATAAATGTAAACACATCTGTTAAATTATAAGTGACTTGGAGGCATCATCATCATTTTACCATAGCCAATCTTTATGTCTGCATCTTTGTTTTTTAACCCAGTTCTTTTTGGTTTTTACTTAATTTCTTACATATTTAATATCTGACTTTTATTTTTGTCATGCAGTTAAAGGCTTAGAATAAGCAGATTATTTAAAAAGTGTTTCTGCAACCCAGCTTATGATATAAACCATTACCCAGAGACTTTGAAGCCTTCTGTGTTCCTTTCTGATCTCAAACTGGTGAATGTGAACTGCTATTGACCTATGGGTTTAATTTTCAAATCTTTGACTATAATTAAAGTCAGTATCATAATATATATTGGCCATTTGTGTTGATGTTCCATAAAATTTTTATTCATTTATTTTGTCCCTCTTTAATTACTTTTTAAAATATTTATTGTATGGAGTTTTTTGTATTCTAGATGTTAATCTTATATTAGTATATTTGCTCAGAATATTTTTTATCAATGTGTAGCTTGTCTTTTCACTTGCTTTATGATGCCTTTTGATAAGCAATGGTTGCTAATTTTAAAGTAATACAATTTATCATTATTTTCCTCTGTGATTAATAAGCTTTGTGTTTGAAGTAATTCCTTCTTATTGTGAAATCACGAAGATAAGTGTCTATATTTTCTTCTAAAAATTTAAAATTTTGCCTTGCATACGTAAGTACTTCTTAAATCTGGAATGGCTTTCAGAATAAGGTGTGAGGTAAAATCAGGTTTCGTCTTCCTTCCTTTCTCAAATGGAAATTGCTAAAGCACAATCCAACATTCCACACTTCCCACGCTATTCCTCAAAGCCCACTGTGCCATATGTCAAGCGGCTGTGATGCAGTAGAACATAAGCCAGAGTCTTTGCTTGTTTGACTCAATGGCTTTTGCCAACCACCCACCACTAACCCTGACACAAGCAAATGTTCAATAAATGTTTGTTGAATTAATATCTTTGGATCTGTTTCTAAATTCTCTATTCTCTGTCACTGGTCTAATTATTTATTCTAGCATAAATACCACATTCTTAATTGCCATAATTTTATTTGTCTGTTCTTGGGATTTTGTTTTTCACATATATTTTGTATCATCCTGGCAAGTACTACAAACAAAAAACAATCAAACCTGTTGATACACTAATTTAAACATTGTGTAATCCATAGATAAGTCTGGGGAAAATAGACACCTTTTAGATAATTTGTTGTCTTTCAGAAAATAAGTTTCTCCACAAAATCCTTAGCATCTTTTTAAAATTTTTCCTTGTAGATATTTTTTGTATATACATGTGTGTTCATGTGTGTACCTGTGTATTTGTACATATTGTACGTATGCATAGCGTTATATATGTAACATTTCCTGTTATTGGTAGTTAGAAATGCAACTAATTTTTTTCATGTTAATTTTGTATCCAGAAATCTTATCTCAACAATTAATTCTAATAATTAGTAGATAGTGCTATCATTTTCAATAAGAATGATTTTGATTTCTTTCCAAAACTTACAACTTTTATTTTTGTTTCTATTTTTTTATTGTGAACAGAAGCTACAGGATATTGAATAGAAGTGGTTGATGGTAGATGTTCTTGTTCCTCATATTAAAGTAAAAACTTTTAATATTTTTAAATTATTTAACATGTTGCTTTGGGGCTTTCTAAAATTATCTGCTGTCAGTTTTTAAAGGTCTTTTTTCATTTGTATTTTATTTAGTGGTTTTGTTGAATTTATGGATTGCATTTTTTTAATCTATTGACCTAATTTATTCTGTTAATATGGCAAATTAGACTAACAGGTTTTCAAATGCAGAAGCTAATTGTAATTCTTGGATAAAACTCTTTTGGCAATAACACACTGTCTTTCAAAAAACAATCTTGATTTCTTTTAGCTATTATTCTGTTGAGGATTTTAGCATCTATGTTTACAAGTGGGAACAACCTATAGTGTGATATTTTCATAATGTCCTTTCCTGTATAAGCATCAGCTTTACACTAAACTTTTAAGTCTTTGGAAGGGTTTGCACAAGATGAAAATTATCTTTTTGTTGAATATTTTGCGGAACTGGCATATAAAACTCTCCCAGCCTGAGATTTTAATGTTGTGACTTAAATAGTGATGAAATTTCTTCAATGAGTGTAGGAGTAGTCTAGGTTTCCAAATCTTTTAGAGTCTCTTTTGGCAATTCACATATTTTTAGATTTTGTTTTTCTAATTTGTCTGTCTTCAAATGTATTGACATGAAACTGCACGAAGTATTCTTTTAGCTTTTAAAAATCACTCCTTTATCGAATGAAATGTACATTTTGATTCCTAATAATGTTTGGGTATTTTCTCTTTAAAAATAATTAGACTTGTCTTAGGTTTGTGAATTCTATGGAACTTGTCAACAAACCAAGACTTTATTAAAAGGTAGAGGTTATTATTAATAATAATTAATATAACTATTATATTTAATATAATTAATATAACAAAATTATTATAACAATATTATTAATAAACCAAGACTTTATTAAGCTATTTATTAAATTTTAATTTTCTTTTTAAATGTGTTCAGATATCATTCCTTCTACTTTCTTCTGATTAATTTTATTTTTTGAACCTCTTATTTTAGATAATTAATTTTCAGCTTTTTGTCTTTTCCAATATAATCATTTAACATGGTAAATTTCTCTCCATACACTGCCTTAGTCTAGATCTCACAAGCCTTGATTTATTAATAATCAGTTCTGAGTGATTCCTAAATGACTAAATGATTTCCCATGAATTATGTGTTATTTAGAAGGATGTTACTTGTTTTTATCTTTTAAATCATTGATTTCTTATTTAATTGAATTGAAGTCATAGAATGTATGTATATACAACTTAAACTTTAAATTTGTGTCACTTTTTATGGCCTATGATAGTGCTTCTCAAATTATCTTATCAAAGGGTCATTTTCTTTTAAATTTCCTATCATGGCTTATACTTTTATAAATGCAATAAATTAATAAGCAAATAAATTACTATGAAGAAAAAATTTTTAAAAGACATACAAAATGCAAACCCACATTTTAGTATTCAACAAGCAGAAATTTACATTCCAGGAAATATAATCAGAACAAAATAATAATGGAAGAAAGAAAAGAATTAAGAAAACTGAATTTATGGTTCACTACAATTTCACATAAGGTGATTAATGTAAATAATTTCTATTAAATTCATAACTCTGTCATTCTAGTATCATAACAAAACTAAAATTTATGAAGGAAGTAGCAAGTTTCTATTTTAAGTACCTTTGGCACCCTTTGATTAGATATCATGTATATTTAAAGGGTTTAATGTAACAAATGAGCTTGTTTCTTGCTTATAAATTTAGCTAATCTAGGTTGGATTTATAACCATAGTACTGTTAGGAGATAACATACATCTAAACTATTGATATACTTTGCTCTATTAATACTCCATTGTAGAGTGTACAGTTGGTTTTTGAGCAAGCAGAGAGTTGGAGTGCTGATGACCCTGCAGTCAAAAATCCCTGTGCAGCTTCTGACTCCCCCAAACCTTGACTACTAATAGCCTACTCTTGACCAGAAGCCTTACTGATAACATAGTCAATTAACACATATGATATATGTTATAGGCATTATATACTGTATTCTTACAATAAAGCAAGCTAGAGAAAAGACAGTGTTATTAAGACACTCATAAGGAAGAGAAAATATATTGATATTCATTAAGTGGAAGTGGATTATCACAAAAGTCTTCGTCCTCATCATCTTCATGTTGAGTAGGCTGAGGAGGAGCGATGGGGGAATTGGTCTTGTTGTCTCAGGGGTGGTAGATGTATTGGAAAATCCATATATAAGTGGACCCACACAGTTCAAACCTGTGTTATTCAGGGGTCACTTGTGTTAGTTATCTACTGCTGCATAATAAATTGCCCAAAGATGTAACATCTCAAACAATGAACTTAAAGTTTCTGTGGCTTACGGTTTTTGGAGCAGCTCAGGCGGTTAGTTCTGGCTTAGGAGCTCTTTCGTAAAGTTATGGTCAAAGTTTTGACTGGGGCTGTTTCCTCTGAAGGCTTGGGAAGGCTGAAGGATCTCGTTCTAAAATGTCAGGTTCGGAAGGCTGCTGGCAAGGCCTTCCCTTCCTCCTCAAGGGGGCCTCTCCATCGTGCTGCTTAAGCGTCCTCACTACGAGGCTGCTGGCTTCCCCCAGAATGCAATGCCTCTTTGTGACTTCGTTTCAGAAGCCACTTACCATCACTTCTGCCATATTCTGTTTTTTGGAAGCAGATCACTAAGGCCAATCCAAAAGTGGTGGAGTTAACCTCTACCTCTTAAAGGGAGGCTTATGAAAGAAATTATGGACATATTTTAAAATTACTATATAGAGAAACTAATCTCAAAACTTTATAGGAATGCAGGAAGAGATTTCAGGTTCATAATGTTCATTTCATAGCTTCTATCTGAAATGAAACAAGTGATGCTTTTCTTTCAACTTTAATATGTCATCAGCCAATTCCAATAATTTATATTGTAAAATTATGGATAAATTTAAATTACCTTTTGATGAAAAAATGGATTCTGTATTCATGAATTTTATATGTATTCATGAAATTTCATTTTTTGGTAGAAAATAATTTTGGAAGATAAAATTTTAAAATATTCGATCAAATTCAAAAACAGTTTATTGATAACTTTTCACAGATACACAATATTGAAATCATCTGTTTCCTTGTCATAGTTGTGAAATTATGGTACATGTTATAGGAATCTGTAGAAACTCTACCTTCCTTACTCTCTGAAGTTTGTCTTTGTCCCTTAGTAATATCTGTCGTTAATAAATATGTGACATTCCTTCTTTACCTTCAAGTAAATACCAGAGACAATAGATAATATGCCCTCTGCCCAATTCTTATGTTTAAAATGTTTGGACCGAACTGGTTTGTTATTTTGCAAAAACATTATTGATTCAGTATTGTGGATATTGTCAATTACACTCATGATATCTATACATTTGGCAACAGTTGTGTATAATTTATTTCCATATTATCACACAAAGAGAATATTTTCAAAATTAATAGCTGGCCTTTACATAATTCACAAATCTTAATTATGAGTAATTAATTAGAGTAATATTTGAATATATGTATACAATGTGTAATGATCAAATTAGGGTAATTAGCAAATCCACCAACTCAAACATTTATCATTTGTTTATGTTGGGAACATTCAAAATCCTCTCTTCTGTTTGAAAATATATAATAAGATATTGCTAACTATAGTCACCCCATTGTACTATAGAAGAACCAGAATTAATTCTCCTATCTAGCTGTAATTTTGTATCTGTTAACCAACTTCTATTTATCTTGCCCTCCCCTGAACCTTTCAGACTCTCATAACCACAATTCTACTCTCTACTTTTATGAGCTTAACTTTTATTGGCTCCCACACATGACTGAGAACATGAAATATTTGTCTTTCTGTGACTGAATTATTTCACTTAACGTAATATCCTCGGGGGTCACTGTGTTGCAGAGAATGGCAGGATTTCATTCTTTTCGATGGCTGAATAGCATTCCACTGTGTTTATATACTACATTTTCTTTACCCATTTTTTCTGATGATGGAGGCTTACGTTGATTCCATATCTTGGCTATTGTGAATAGTGCAGCAATAAACATAAGGGTGCAGATAGCTCTTTGATATTCTGATTTCTTTTTCTTTGAATAAATATCCAGTAGTGGTAGTTCTGTTATTGTTTTTCTGGGGGGTGGATTTCTATACTATTTTCCATGTTAGTTATATTCGTTTACCTTCCCACCAACAGTGTATAAGTGTTCCCATTTCTCCACGTCCTTGCCAGCATTTGCTATCTTTTGTCTTTTTGACAATAGCCATCTTAACTGGGGTGAATGAGGCCTCTCTCTGATTTTATTTACATTTCTCTAATCACATGTAATTTTTTAATTGTAAGAATATATAGATGAGGAAAGCAATATATTAATTGACTTTTTGGCACAAATTCTTAATCTGAGTAACTGTGTGGCTGTACCATAAGAATATACTCCAACATAATACGTAAAGTCCACGTCACGTTTGCACACTGATTGGGCTCCTGAATGTCAAACAGTGTCAAAGGGTTATAAAACTTTTCTCAGTGCTTACTCTTAGTTTCTGAACTTGTTTTGTTATGGATTGTTAACAGGCATTCATGAATCAGTCTTGTCTGTGGACTAGAATTTGAGCAGCAGAGACTTAGGACATGACCTTTTTTCTTAAATGTTTCTGTGTGCTAGAAAAAGAATGTATGTGTTCCAGATGTTGGATCCAGAGTTCGGTATTTATCAATTTGATGAAACTTAATATAATTTAAATCTTCTATATATTTATTGATTTCTGTTGTGCTTGATTTATAAATTTTTGAACATTAAAATCTTTCACCGTGGTTATAATTTTGTCCATTTTTCTTATGCTCCCGCCAAATTTTTCTTTATGTATTTTGAAGCTACGTCATTTAATTTTTAAAGATAATACACTATTACAATTAAGAGTTTGGATTCTAGAATTAGGCTACATGGACTGGACTACCAGCTATATGACATTGGCCAAGTTCTGTAATGCATACCTAAGTTTCTTTACCTATGAAATAGGAATAATAATCACATCTACCTCATAGATGAGGTGGTTGCTGAACAGTTAATGAGATAATATATGCAAAGCACTTGACTATGGATTTAGAGTAAGCTCTTAACATTATCTAATATAATCATTGTTATCTATAAAAGCAGCCTACCCAATATATGCACATTAAATACTTATTGAGTAAATATTAATTAAATATTAAATGAATGTTGAGAGATAAATTAATAGGTTGTTTCATGTTACTTGTGGAAATATTATAGCATTGAGAGGTCAGCCACAGATTGTAAATTCCAGCTCTGATACTTATAGCTCTGTGGGTCCTTGTACCATTTTCCTAATATCTCTAAATATTAAAATCTGTAACTTTAGATAAAGGCTAATAAATACTGTGTCCATTCAGTTTGTCATGCCTTGATAAAGCTTGAACAAACATGGTACATGTGAAGTGAAAAATACCTGCCATATACTATGGTAGAAAAATGCTAATTTATTTAATTTTGTAACTTATTAAAAGTAAATTCCATTGTCCTTAATGGTTTCCCTCATAAGTAAATAGGACACAAATTTTAGGTTCTTGTCAAGACCAATGAAGATCATAATTTTGGAAGAGGCAGTAGTGGAAATATGGTGCCTCTCACAAGACACTAATCAGATGACTGCTGTCCTCACCTATCATTCTGCCCCTGACATTGACATGAGAACCCAACGGAAAAGCTACATGCTCCTAGAACTTTCATATAATTGTGTTCTCAGTATCCGTGAGACTTATAAACCAACATCATTTTTGGATTCTAAAGCTCTGTAGGTAAAAGACTTTCAGGATGCCATAAAATGTAACAGGAGAATTGAGAATGAGTAGAATTGACCTTGGTGAATATGACACATGGAAACAACTTAGACATAGAGAACATTATGGTGCTTCACAGTCCTATCACCGGTTGAAGACCATCTAACCTGCAGGGCTTATGATTCAACATTCCAAACAATTAGAAAAGAAATATGTTTACTTCTGATTATATTGGATACTTTCTTATTATGCTAAGTATACTCTAGGGGAATGGTGCATGTAGAGAATTCTCCCTAGGGAGGCCAGCAATGTTTGTAGCAGCCACTGCAATATTGGAACACAAATAGTCCATGGCATGTCCTGCACATTTACATCTCCAATGTCACATTCCTACAAAACCCTGGCACTTAGTATTTAATGAGTTATTGAAAAATGAATTATTTTCTTCAACTTTTACATGCTATGTTGAAACCTGTTTAGAAAGCAGTAATTACATTCCTGTATTCATCATTGATTTTTAAGCACGTATGTATGTATATTTTTAGGCTTGTCTTTTGTAGAAATTTTCCTGGTTTTTCTAGTCCCATGACACTAGCTGCTATTGCCATATACTTGTCTTAATTTATTTACTTAAAACTGCTTTAACTTATATGGAGAAAAGGTATTATTTTAACAAGAAAACACACTTATAAAACAGTGTATTGACTGGAAACACAGTAGATACAGTTGATATTGTTGCAAAGATTTTGACTACATTTTCTTAGCTCCTTAAGATAACCAAATTTTTAGTTTGTACATCCCCCACAAAACACAAACATAACACTCCAGCACTTAGATATTAATGCTTTTTAAACTTTCTTTCTGATTATAAATATATGATTTTGGCAGAGAATTTAAAAAATTACCAACTTAAAAATTAAAATTGCCCATAACTAATCCTACTATATATTTAAAAATTAAAATTAAAACTAATATTTTATATATTTCCCTCTAGTTTTTTTTTAATTTATTTTAGGCCAAGTGCAGTGGCTCATGCCTGTAATCCCAGCACTTTGGGAAGCTGAGGTGGGTGAATCACCTGAGGTCAGGAGTTCAAGACCAGACTTGACCAACATGGTGAAACTCCATCTCTACTAAAAATACAAAAAATTAGCCAGGTGTGATGGCGGCCGCCTGTAATCTCAGCTACTTGGGAGGCTGGGGCAGGAGAATCGCTTGAACCCAAGGGGTGGATGTTGCAGTGAGCCGAGATCACGCCATTGCGTTCCAGCCTGGGCGACAAGAGTGAGACTCCAACTCAAAAAACAAATTATTTTAACAGAATTAATGGCTTACTGTGCATGTAATTTATCTGTGTGTTTATAAAAATAAATATCTAGATAAATTACCAAAAAAATCCCCCAATAGTGGTGGGAGTGCACTTCATCATGTTAAATGTAATCATTCTCTAATTCTTTGCAACCACACAATCTATTAATCATTTGCATTGATTTTTAAAACAAATAAGTATGCTCATGGCCACAACTCACATTTTATTCTATAAACTGTTCTTCCTTTTCCAGAACCATTTTCTTCTATTCCCACTAGAGACAGACGGCAAAGTTGCTGTTCTATTGACAAGATTCTAGTTTCGGACCCTGCAATGATTCGCTGGGGTGTGGAATTATTTCCCTTGAAAAGCAACAGGGGAGTGCTAAGATGGTAAAGTAATAATTACTTCCTTCAGCAGCAATAGTTTAGGGAAAAGCTCAAAGACATATGGGCTGAATATTTAGCAGACAGTGATAACAGTGAGGTCACAGATATGACACTGGGGGATGCTAGCAAAGCAGTATTGCAGGGAAAATTGATTGAAATCTTTGCCCAAAAGAAAAGGGAAAGGCAACTACAAATACCAGAGTTAGGGACTAAAATTAGGAGCCTCCAAAAGGAGCATATTAAGAAGGGTAAGGCTAAAACTAATTGATTTAGAAAATGCCAAGGGGAAACTTAACAGGATTCTAAATGAGAGAATGGAGTATCTAATAAAGCTCAATAAGAGCTAGTTTTCCTCCCATGGCAATAAAGCAGATACTATCTTGGCCTGCTAACGTAGAGGGAGAACACAATTGAGACTAATTAGGGAAATTAAGGGACAAAAAGGGCCCCACTCTAACCCCAGTGAAATAAGAACGAGCATCGTTCTTTATTATTCTTTCATAGACATATATAGCATTAAAACTCACATGCTATATGAAAGTTTCTAGACTCCATTGATTACAGTAAAATGCAATCTACTTCATTCAAGGCACCATTTATGACAGGGCTGTGCGTTTATGACCTTTCAATGCCTTCTCTATTAATATAATGTGGAGTTTGGTACACAATGTGGAAAGTAATATGATGATGTAAAAAGGCTACTGGACTAGAACACAGAAGACTTTATGCCTACTCTTAACACCACCCGCCACTTGGTAAACGATGTGTCTAAGTTCCACATAAACAGCAAAGCTCCTGACTCTACTCCATTTGAGCTTAAAAAAACCACTATTATCTTATCCTTCCCAAACTATCAAAAGATAGAAAATAAAGCAATACATTTTTCCATCAAAACTGTCAATGGAGTCAATGGAGCCCTCTGTACAAAATAAAAAATTCAAAAAAAATAAGAAAATAATAATGAAACAACTAAATCCAATCATATAAGATGACTTGCTAATTGTCACATGGAAATAAGCTAAAATTAGTGGAGTACTTATTGTAATAGATGTTTATTGTTTATAAGAGAAATTCCTTCTTTCCTCAAATGGAATACATGGAAAACATAACAATACTGAGCAACATAAGGTTCTGCCATTTGTTATCTGTGTAAATTCCAATAACTTTATATATCCTCAATTTTCTCATGTAAAAATGATGATAATTATGTTGACACTGAAGAGTTGCTGAACACTGCTGAAAGAAATCACAGACTGCACAAATAAATGGAAGAACATTCCATGCTCATGGACTGGAAGAATCAATGTTGTTAAAATGGCCATACTGCCCAAAGGAATGTACAGATGCAACATTATCCCTATCAAGCTACCAATGTCATTTTTCACAGAACTAGAAAAAATAATTCTAAAATTTATATGAAACCAAAAAAAAAAAGAGCCAGAATAGCCAAAGCAATTCTAAGCAAAACTAACAAAGCCGGAGGCATCATATTACCTGGCTTCAAACTATACTGTAAGGGTACAGTAAACAAAAAAGCATGGTACTATGTAAAAACAGACACAGACCAATGGAATCAAATAGAGAGCTCAGAAATAAAGCTGTACAACTACAGCCATCTGATCTTCGACAAAGTTGACAAAAATAAGCAAAGGGGAAACAATTTTCTATGCAATAAATGGTACTGGAACAACTGGCTAGCCATATGCAGAAGAATAAAACTGGACCCCTACCTTTTACCATATACAAAAATCTGCTCAAGATGGATTAAAGATTTAAATGCAAGTCCTCAAACTATAAGAATTCCAGAAGAAGAACTAGGAAATACCATTCTGGACATTGGCCTTGAGAAAGAATTTATGACTAAGTCCTTAAAATAAATTGCAACATAAAAATTGACAAATGGGACCTAATTAAACTAAAGAGCTTCTGCACGGAAAAATAAACTATCAACAGAGTAAACAGACAACCTACAGAATGGAAGAGAGTATTGGTAAGCTATGCATCCAACGAAGGACTAATATCCAGAATCTATAAGAAAGTTAAACAATTGAACAAGTAAAAAACAAATAATGTCATTAAAAAATGGGCAAAAGACATGAATAGATACTTCTTGAAAGAAGATATACAAGTGTCCAACAAACGTGAAAAAATGTTGCACATCACTAATCATTAGAGAAATGCAAATCAAAACCACAATGAGATACCATCTCACACCAGTCAGAATGGCTTTGAAAAAGTCAAAAAACAGTAGATACTGGTGAGGCAGTAGAGAAAAAGGAAGCACACAACATTGAAAGGAATGCAAATTAGTTCAGCCTCTGTGGAAAGCAGTTTGAAGATTTCTCAAATAACTTAAAACAGAACTATCATTTGATTCAGTAATCCCATTACTGGGTATATATCCAAAAGAAAATAAATCACTCTACCGAAAAGACACATGCACTTGTATGTTCACTACAGCACTATTCACAATAACAAAGACATGGAATTAACTTAGTTGCCTATCAATGGTGGATTGGATAAAGAAAATGTGGCACATATACACCATGGAATATACACAGCCATAAAAAAAGAAAAAAATCATTTTCTTTGCAACAACCAGAATGCAGCTAGAGGCCATTATTTTAAATGAATTAACGCAGAAACATAAAACCAAATATTGCATGTTGTGACTTATAAGTGCGAGCTAAACAATGGGTACTCATTGACATAAAGATGACAACAACAGACATTGGGAACTATTAGAGCAAGGCGAGAAGGAAGGGTAAAAGAGTTGAAAAACTAACTATTGGATATGATGCTCAGTACCTGAGTGATGAGATCCAGTGCATCAAAACCTTACCATCACACAATATACCCAGGTAATAAACCTGCACATGTACCTCCTGAATCTAAAATGAAAGCTTAAAGCATAAACAAAAAATAAAAAAGGTAACAATGTGCTGGATGATTATAGGAAATATATAGTAATCTTTTATGTTAGAGTAATTGATTTTTCAAAACATTGCTTTCACATTTGAACCTAAACCGCTCTGCGAAGCAGCCAGGTCTAGAGGAAAAATTTTCTTTTAAAGTTTAGAATAAAGGAGATGCAGAATGAAAGAAAGAAAGCAGTTTTTTATATTACAATCTTACCATCACTTAGATTGACATATATATTTGTATTTGTGTGTGCATATATACTTCTATGAAATGTGCCTTAACACTTATCACAGTCCATAAACAAGCCCACTTTGAGAGTATAACTACAATTAATCCAGCAAATATTTGCCCAACAACCAATACAGGCTAGATCCAAAGATTAGTTCTTGAAGGTATTCTAGTAAGGTAGAGATGTGGAAGAACGATGCCTCTAATTAATTAGGAGATGATGTGAGAAGTTTTACAGGACATGTTACTATGGCATAGATGCACCAGCCAAACCTCCAAAGCTGAGGCATCTGCCAGAAAGGTCTTTGAATATCTGAGACCTCCTCCTGCAAACCATAAACCAATCCGTATAAACAATAACTAAACTGAACTTGGCCAATAGAGCATTTGGTCCAAATATACTTTTTTCCCATTTTATAGACTCTGTGATGTTAACATTCTTTCAGGGATGCAGTTGAGCATGAATCTGGGTATACACATCATATCCTTTTCTCCGACTTTTCTTCTCTGTCCCTCACATAGCTGAAGGGTGGGGAGCTACCTATCCATTTCAACAAGAAGTTAAATCTAATAATACATATAACATAGTTACTAAAATATCAAGCTAGCTTTACATGTGAGAAAACTAGCCAACCAGTTATGTTGTAATATAAGGGGATTGTGAAATATAAACGAACCTTGTTGCTGTTGTTGTTTTTGTTGTTTTTTGAGACGGAATTTTGCTCTGTCACCAGGCTGGAGTGCAGTGGCACAATCTCGGCTCACTGCAACCTCCGCCTCCCAGGTTCAAGCAATTCTCTTGCCTCAGCCTCCCGAGTAGCTGGGATTACAGGCGCCCGCCACCACGCCTGGCTAATTTTTGTATTTTTAGTATAGATGAGGGTTTCACCATGTTGGCCAGGATGGTCTCTATCTCCTGACCTCGTGATCTGCCCGCCTCAGCCTCCCAAAGTGCTGGGATTACAGGCATGAGCCACCGCACCCGGCCAACTTCACATTTTTATAAATCATTTTAATTTCATTAAAGGATCCTGCTCTTCCCCAATTTGTTGTGATGTGGTATGGCTGGTCTTTATGCATTTATCCTGATATCTGTAATGTTATTTAAAATATGTGCTATTATTTTATTTAAGTCTGAACTACATTCAAATTGCATACCTTAACTTGATAAATCATTTCTATTCCCACATTACTGGCATATACTTTCTAGGAAAGATGATTTTAACTTATCCTGAATTGGCTGATCTTTAACTTCTTTGAAATATATGGTCTCTACCTAAATTTTCTTAGAAAAAGAAACTCAAAATGTGTATTCCTTGAGAGAACTATTATTTATTGCTATGCATCAAGAATATACTTGCATTTTTTATAAATTCGAATGAAATCCATCACTTTAAGCAACTTGAACACTTTAAGCATTTAATGTTTTTCCAATATATGAAAAACTCTTAGCCTTTAATATATTTAAAAAGTATAATCTTGCTTATTTTAGCTAATGAGAAGGAGACAGACTGTTTACTTTTTCATTCAGTTTGGTAAGGTCAGAGAGTGAAACTGTTTGATACATAATTCATTTACCTGTAAGTTTGATTGTCTTCGCTTAACTTAAAAAATGTATACCCAAATAGGCCTATCTTAATGTTCTACTCAGTTATACATTTTATATCTTATGTTCTCATCCCAGTTTTAGATCCTCAAATGGCTAAAACCACAAAATTATTTTGTCAAACAGGTTATTTTAGGGATTATAAAACGTAATAAAATCAGGATCTCAAATATGAAAGAATCGTTTTCATTTATATCTGTACTCTTTAAAAAGTATAATTTTATATATCTTCAAAAAATAAATCCAGCAAAATTGTTAATGATGAATACTCACTTTAGAATTTAGGAACTTGAATGAAGCCATCAACAGATGTCTGTGTGCAATATTTAATACAATTCAACAAATATTGAATACCTAATATAAGCAAGGCACATTATTATAAAATATCTAAAACCTGCAGAAGTTATAAGTTCTTATTACAATGTGTGATGAAGTTAAGAAAATCCTTCCTTGTCACATAATTTTTAGTGCTAGCCAGGACGATTGAAACGAGGCAATCTAAGTAGATTCTAAGCCATGAAACTGCCCCTTGAACGTCCCTGAGCTCATCTACTACTTTTTTCACCATTAAGCTAAATAGCCTTAATTGATCCACTGATGTTTCGTCTCACAGATCCCATATCCCTTATCTTTAAGTAAGGAGGTTCACAATCTATCACACTAAGAAAGTAAGAATAAACAAGATGAATATAGAATGCATAGGGATATCCTCTTTTTCGTTTGTGGCCATATCATTAAAATGGGATGGGGAGAATGGGCATTTGGTTTCCTGGGACATTGTGCGTTGTGCTAAGCTTTACTGGGGGAAGCACCCTTACCTGTTAGGAAGGTGTTACTTAAAACAGGAAGACCAGCAGAAGCTCACACTATATATACACCTTATAGAGCAACGCTAGACTAAAATATAAAAGGATGGTAAATTTAGATGTCAGTGTTTTATAGAATGAGAAAGTATGTACAGATACAAGCAGATGAATTATTAGGGCTATAATTCTTAAGAAAGAACACACACACAGAGAGAGAGAGAGAGAGAAAATTGAGAACCTAATAGCTTTCCTCTGGTCAGTTTGAAAGGGCTCCATGAAAAAGGTGAAAGTTTACTTCTTTAAACGATGTGAAGATACTTTTTTTTAGTCTGGGGAAAAAACAGTTGTATATAAAAGCACTACATGGAAAAATAATACTTGAAAATATAAGCCTTAACATTACCTATATGAATAGTAACGTTATACAAAATGTAGAATATTCTGTAAAATGTTGATAATAGAATCATTAGCTTGCATTTTTTTTTACTCACCTCAGCATCTGTGCTGAGTACTAAGTAGTGTTGTCTAATACTATTCTAAAAAAAGTTTTAAATTAGCTTTAATTTAAAAAATTAATCTGTTGCTGATATAATGAAAGAAATTAGCAGAAATAATTTAATATTTTCCATATATTTGTATTCATGTCAGAATATTTTATAACTGTCTTAGCAAAATCTCAAATACTTGAACATTTTCAATGTAATATTTGTTTTTCAAAGTGGAAGCTGCATTGTATAATACTAATAATTTGTTGTCATGTTTATTTTCTATCTTTCGTGCATTTTTCCTAATTGAATTTTTTCATCCAGTGCTTATATTGGTTTGAAATAAGGAACAAAACCAAGTCAGCGATTATAAGTTTTGGAATTTTTGTCTAGTTAGATTTGTTGCTATATCAAACACATGATTGAAAATGACAAAATACTTTCAACAAAAAGTCACGAAAATATCAGAGAACTCTCATGTTGGCTTTTGTCATATTAACAGACTGAATTAGAGGATTAAAAAAATTAATGACATATAGTATTACATTTTGACCGCAGGAGTTTCTCTTTCTTTAATGTTTTAATGTGGGAAACATAAAATCCAATTTACATCAAACATTTAGATAATAGCATGTATGTTAATACACGATTCTGACAAAGACGTCTGAATTCTTTCTACAAAAAAGCACAATCATATATCAAAGAACTATCAACCACTAGGACAGCTCTTTGTTTTAACCTGTGTCGACAAAAGCTCACAAATTCTTTGGGCAAAAAAGCTAGTAAAGATCAAAGAACTTACAGGGGAGCTTCCAGTATATAGGAGCAATCTCTGTAGTTATTCTATTTCAATGCCCTTTGAGTACTAGCTACAAGATAGGACATTTTTCGGCAAAATACGCAAGGCATAAACTATATAGATTAAATTTTTGAGAATAATTTATTTTAATTGGATAAACATCTATGTCTATTTTTCTTCAGTACTATGTAATTTGATTTAAACAGTATTCAACCAACGATAGATTATTTATTCTTTAATTGACTTAAGAAATATTTGTCCAGCACCTATTTTTAATATTTATTTTAAATTTATATATTCATTTTAATAATTATTTTAATAAATATGTAAATTTATTATATATTTTAATAATAAATATATAAATTTATTATATATTTTAATAATAAATAAAGTTATATATTTTAATAATTATATAAATTTGTTATATATTCTTAAGTATTTTGGGCAAATATTTAATAAGTTAATAGGTGCTGGACATGTATTTTGTATTTTAATAATAATTTTAAAATATTTGATATTTATTATTTCTCTCACTTTGTCACCCAGGCTGGAGTGCAGTGAAGTGATCATAGCTCACTGCAGCCTCCACCTCCTAGGCTCCAGTGATCTTCCTGCCTCAGCCTCCTGAGTAGCTGGGACTACAGGTTTGTGCCACCATGACTGGCTACTTTTTTTTTTGGTAGACACTGGGTATGCTATGTTGCCCAAGCTGGTCTTGAACTCCCGGCCTCAAGCGATCCTCCCACCTCAGCCTCCTAAGTAGGAGACTGGGACTACAGGTGTGTGCCGCCAACAAGCCTGGCTAATTTTGAAATACTTGTCCAGCACCTATTATGCATGTCCCGGCCACAGCTCTGGTCTATAGTTTCCAACTTTCAGGCTGAGATGTGAAAACCATTGGGAGTAGAACTTGCTAGGAATGGAGCTTACTACCTCTTTCCATTTTTCACTGGATTCCATCTTTAAATGAAGTGAAGGCTTGAAGATGAAATCAAAGTAAAATGATAAGAGTTTCCAGGTTTCAAGTTGAAAATTACTTTCTCCAAACACCGCATGTTCTCACTCATAGGTGGGAATTGAACAATGAGAACACATGGACACAGGAAGGGGAACATCACACACCGGGGACTGTTGTGGGGTGGGGGGAGGGGGGAGGGATAGCATTAGGAGATATACCTAATGCTAAATGACGAGTTAATGGGTGCAGCACACCAACATGGCACATATATACATATGTAACAAACCTGCACGTTGTGCACATGTACCCTAAAACTGAAAGTATAATAATAATAAAATTTAAAAAAAAAGAAAAAAAAGAAAATTACTTTCTCTAAGGAATTTGGTCTCTATTGCTTATTTCTTCACATGAGAGACAGTAAGAATATATGTCTAACAATAGCAGAAGTAGCAAGCAACTTGAAGGAGCGGGTATTTTGGCAGGATAATGGGAAGCTCTCTGCCTGAAAGAATTTTAAGGAAAAGAGAGGCAAACTCAGAAGTGATGAAGAGATATCCTTTGAGTTGGAACATCTTCCCCACCCTACCCCCATCCTTTTCTTCCCTCTGGCTTATCTAAATCAGGGAAAGTTGCTAGTTACTATTCATTCACTTAAGTGCCCTGGGCAGATCCCTGGGAAGCACCCTCACCCACCTAACACTACATATTCATAAAGTCACACCTAGACAATTTATCTCCCTTGAATTCATCTACTTTTCTCTTACCCCTTTCCACCATTTCAGAATGGGGTGTCATCATCTGCTCCCTTGCTCTGACCCCAGCCTCGCCAGCCCCGATCCATCCTCCCTTGCGCTCTCTTAGGTTTGGCCACATGAAACTCTTGGAAATCCACAAACACTTATGTTCTCATCTGAGCCTTCCAGTGTCTAGACAAGCTTTTCTCCACATCACTACATATTGCCAAAGGAGGGAATATCTTGCTAAATCTACCCTGTTATTCAAATCATCGTTTAGCTGTTACTTCTCATAAATTTTCAAAACAAAACAAAGTTAATTGTCCCTGCCCCCACGCCCCACGTAGGCTCTTCCTCACCACCAGGCTTGCCTCTGTTGTAGCAGGACTTAAATTAGAATGTTCTTTATGCTCACGCGCGCGTGCTCTCTCCCTCGCTCTCTCCCTCTCTCCCTCTGCCTCTTTCTCCCTCTCCTTCTTTCTCCCCTTTTTCTTTCCCTGCCTCTGTGCCTCTGTCTCCTTCTAAGTTATTTGGTGGAATAACCCTGTCTTGAGAAAACAAACAGTCTTCAAGATGCTGAAACCACATGGTAAGGTAAAGTTTGGTAGAAACTGGTAGGGAAGGAGGGCAATGAGGAAAAGTAAGGAAAATCAGATAAGAAAATAACGGTAGTAATATAGGAGAAAAAAGATGAGGCCGTTGAGTACCCTTGATCGACATAGACCGGAGCATATATGAACCACGTAGAAAAATATTGGTATGACTTGGTAAATCATGTAATTAAAGGTACGACTTGAAGGGCAAGTAATATGTGACTCCAAGTTTCCTTTCTTAGAACATTATGACTATTGAGTCCAGCATAGTGGAAATTTTCAAAAAGCAGGAAGGTTATATATAACTTATAAAATAAACTACAAAATTCTCAAACAAGTACAGTATATTAACAATTAACATTGTTTAATTGTTTTAAAGTGAGGTTGATATATAAAATGGTTTAAATGTGTGGGAATCTGAATGTTTAATTGAGGCTCGAAGACAAATATCCGCATTTCTTCCTCATGTCCTTTTAAAAGAAAATTCAGTGAACAGGTTTTGATTTCCATTGTAACATGGGAGCATACAGAGAAACTGGAAAAGCTAGCAGGAGTGTATTTGTCACTTAAGGTCCTCTGTTTGTTTCCTGACCCCTTTAAGGCCAGTTTCTATCGTAGTATTTGAATCAGCAAAAATGTGCATGTTTCACTTATCTGGTTTTTGTGACCAAAGAAAAAGCAAGTCCAGCAATCCTGTCATTTGTCTGACAAATCTTGGATAGATTCATCTAGGACCTACCTATAGGAAATGATGGTGTGGTTTACAGTGTCCATTTAAAACAGGAATATTCAAGAAAGCTTCCATCCCCAAGGCAAGCACACTTCTCTGTCAGCTAACAAGGTGACTTTCTTTCATGCTTTGGTTCCTTTTGAAGCCTGTTCCTCACTATGCCCTATCCTCTCTCTACATCTGAATTAAGAAGCAATTGACTCTGACTTTTAAGTTCTGTCCACACCTCCTAGGGGATTTTCTTTAAACAGAAGGAGATTGCCAGGAACTTAGGCGGTTTTTTTGTTTTGTTTTGTTTTGTTTTAAATAATGAAACAATGTAATGAAAAAGATATGCTTGTTATAAGCATGGAAAGACATGCTTAAAATAAGATTCCAACAATCTCCAAGTAAGTTTTTCTATTTGTTTTTTTTTAGATTCAATGTAATGCTGACCTTACAGGTTTATCCTCTCCCCCAAGAAAAACATACTTATCTTATATTCACATTTTAGATAGCAACCTTTTTTTCCTTAAGATTTGAGTAATGCAATATGTGGTATAATCCCACATTATACTACTTAATATCTAAAACAACATTGGATGCAATACAGTTTGATCTTTAAATTCATGGAGCATGATACTTCTCCTTTAAATATTATTTTCTCAAAGGTTTTTCATTTTCAACTCACTGCCAGAAATAAGCCAATGGCTGTGTCCATGATGACATTTAAATTAAAATAAATTAAATTTAAGTTACTTTAATTTCATACATTCATCAAAACTCTTAAAAGTCTTTAGATCCTTGTCTCTGTAAACATGAGAGCAGAAGATTACCAGAGGCTAAGTAGGGATATTTATAATAATTTAGAGCAAAAATTGATTTACATTTTTGATACTATAATAATCTTATCATGTAAAAGTTACATTTATCAATTGCTTAACTATGGATAGCAGCATGCAAGTTTTGAACAAAAAAAAGAGAGATCTTGATCTTAATGAAAGAATCACACAGAAAATAGAAAATGAGTTCATATTCTGAATGTATGAAGTTACACAAGGAAAAAGAAACTAGGAAGCAAAGTAAAACAGCATTCAGGTATCCATAAGCTACAAATAAAAGGAATAAATTTCTTTTTATTTTGTAGGGATTTATTTGTACTTTGCATCATTAAGAGTAATTCTATGGATCCCCTGCATTCTAACTGGTCATCTGGAACATTTTGGCACTTATGCTTGTCTGCCAAGATTCTAAACTAAATCAGATGTTGAGACCACTACAGACATTTTTCAGAATATTTTGATGTTTTAAAATGTATGGTCAATAATTTCAAGGAAACAATAAGCTTCTCATTCTTTTGAATTGGTCCTCAGGAGTTTAGATTGAAACAAAACTTTTCTTCTGTTACAAATTAGATTTTTTTTTCAGATGATAACAAATTAGAGCCACATTATAATTTGTAATTCGTACTTCAGACTTGGCATGTATACACATTTCTAAGGACATTTTGGAGAAATATTCCAACTGTAACTTTAAAGAATATTCTTAGGTCTGTACTGAGCATTCTACTATGTAAATGGACTGTGCTAATGTGTTTGACTAAGAGTTATGGTTGGAATCGTTCTTAGATCCGTTCTGCTACTGTGCAAATAGACAGAGCCTTAGGTACCTTTATGCTCCACTAAATATTACTAGTAAAATTCCTTGTGTTATTAACATATCATAAAATAATATTTGCTTTCAGGCCCAATATATTCAGAAAACATAAAAACTGCACTACTTCAGATTTAATTGACCACAGGGTTAGTCCACATTGATAAAATCTGAATTATGGAAGAGTTTAAAAGAAATGCTAGTTGTTCGCTCTAGTGAAGGCCCCTAATAGATTATTAAATGCAATGAATATGACTGATTTGTTAAGAACCTTGCTGCAGTAATGTCCTTGAGTTCATGCCATGGAACTACTTTAAAAGTAAGGTCATTGTAGAATAGATTGTTTTGGTGACTTAGCAATTAACTGCTCTAAATACTGTCTAAGACTAATGTACCTCATTTTCTATCTCTAGTTAATAAAATGACATTAAGTTTCCCACATATTTGACATCTGAAATTTCTCTTTCTTTTAAACAATTTTTATAATCTATTCAGTTTTCCCATGTAGATAAAAATTATTTCAACCTAGAGCTTATAAAATAATCACACATTAAAATTTGTGTTGTCTAGATTAAGCTGTACCCCATTTTAATGCATTAACCTTGACAAAAGAACATTTCAGACTCCTTTAAAAGCAATAAATTTTTAATATCAACTGATGTTTACCAAGATTCTTGTTCTCAATGAAATTTTATTTTCATTAACATCCAAGTATACTCTTTTAATTCCTTTTGTGTTTTTAAAATATTCATAATGCCATTCATGAATCACTCTACGGCATCATCATACATTAACTTTGTTTTTTAATACAATGCCAGTAAATTTCCTCGTGTGTATTGCTTTATTTCAGCATCAAACCCCCAAACAAAACCAACAATAGAGTCAGCATCTCACTTCACAAATGAAAGTGTGAGTCTCAGAATCTCCCCCAGCTCCTCGGCCAGCTTTGGCTCCGGTTCAGGGCCATCTTCTGATGTAAACGTCAGAACTCATTCTGTGCCATCCAGTTGCTGCTCTTTCTAAAGAAGAGAATACTGAGCATGAAGGATGAGATGCATCTTTTAACCACCCTCTCCTACCTTAATGCTAAGTCTTAACATTCTGAAAAATCCTTGCGATTGTGGAATTACTGTATCTTTCCTGGTATGATTTACAATGAAACACATCTTTGCTCTGCTAAAGCATTCAAATCACCCACTTCAAATTGGCCGTGCCCCACTCTTTCCGGGTTCAAGCACATAGTCTAAAAAAAAACAGGGCGTGTCAGTCTCCCATATAATATAAACTTTCCAAGAGTGAGTGAGGGACAGTCTCTCTTTCCCTGTTGCCCAAAACAGGTTGGGCAGAAGTTTTGCTTTAGTTTGTGCAGCTCCAATATGGTGTTATTTTAAACAGAATTTATCACTTATACTCCTGTGAGGGAGCAAAGATGTGATGAGATAAAAGAAATGAAGCTTCAAGTTATCCTTCTAATCCTCCTACCTGGGATTACTTTCAAAGAGTGTGTTTGCTCTTATCTCAGGGGAAATTCTCCTTCCTCTGGACTACAACATTCAGGTAAAGTATTTTAGAAAACATGGTATACTGTTTGTGAAGATAGCAAAAATATCTATCTTTTGAGAGTCTCTTACATAGAATACTATATCAAATATATTTATTCTTTTAGCTTATTTCTGGACCCTTACTCCTTTTCCAAAGACAAAGTGTCAATGGAGAACAAATAAATTTTTCTTCTGTATGCTCAAAAGATTGTCTGAGGTGGGCTTTTCATCACAGCTTTCAGATTCTAGTCTAAGCTTTAATTTTGTGTGTGAATAAGTGATTACCAATACAAATGCAGTTCTGCCATAGAACGACCAACAGCTAATCAGTTATTCCATTAAGCACATTTTTAAGCTTACTTTGCCTTGAAGTAAGAGTATTTTATAGAAAGAAACGAACACACAGGTTATCTGCAAACTATATATCTCAGACAAAAACCTATTTTTCCATGAAAGAAAGTGGTATCCAAAGGATTAAAATTATACATTAGTTTACTAATCTTAAAAGGAGGAAGGTTTAATGCAAATATCACACTATTCTAAATAGCAAGGAAGAAAAAAGGCAACAGTTTTTAAAATGCCAAAAACTTCCTATTTCCTCAACAACATGCAATCAGAGACAGAGTTTCAAGGACAAAAAGCATGTGTGTGTGCGTGCGTTTCAGCTCTTAAAAGAATAAAAGAAACTTCTCACAGCTGAAGCACAGTAGTGTTCTAATCAACAGAAGGACATGTAGGGAGTTGAAGTAGATTTTCATTTCTGAGAACGCACATTTATATTATTTTCAAGAGATTTTTAATTTAATTTCATGTACATTTGTAGAAGCCAGGATTCTTGCAAACTTTTTTTAAGGTTTCAGTATATACCAACTTACATCACAATTTCTAGATTTAACTGAAAACCTTAAAGGAATTGAGTGAGAATCAAACATCTAAATAAAGATTTCCCTTAATCTTCCACGTTTTCATAGAAACAGCAAAGAAAAAAGTTGCTTGTTTCTGTTAGAAGCAATTAGTGAGCCATCTCATCTCGTTGAGGGTGAGATTTATTACTTGGCAGTTAAGTGTACCTTTCTTATTCATAATAACAGCCACCTGAAATATCTTTAGTAACTTAACACATACTTTGATTATAGACCTGAATTTGACTTGCCACATCACAACCAAACAGAATCGCTTCTGTTAAATATAATTTGGAGATATTGGTGTGTTTGCGGGTGTTTTGTTTAGACTTCATTTTAGTACATTATTTAGTGCTGATTTCACATTAATAGGCATTTCATTTTACCCCTGGTTCTGAGGTTTTAAAAATCATGCTTCAGTTTATATGCAAATATTGAAACAAGAATGTAAAATAGTTCTAAACTCTAAATGTTTTCCCTTATCAAAGTTCCAGAAAAATGCATCACTCAAATTGTATATAGTAAAAAATATATAAAGTTGCTCTTTCTTTTTCAAATTAAGATTAACCAAATTATCTTAGATATCACTGATACAAAAGTGGGGGGAACCAAATAGAAATCATCAATGTATGTGTTCTCTAAAATATGTTACTTTCCATTCAGTAAATGTTACGTACTTCTTCCTTAGAAGTATATTTCATGCTATGGATAGAAAGGAAAAGAATGAGTTGACCCCAACTCTAAGAAGTTAATAGAACAGCTTCAGTTGATAAGTGAAAGACACACACACACACACACACACACACACACACAGAGAGAGAGAGATAGAAAGAGAGAGAAAGGTTACTAAGAATAAAAGAAACTGTTTTTCAAAATGAATTGGAAGGTAGGAAGCGCTTGTAAAGGGTAGACTAGAATAGGTTCAACTTGGGCCATATCGGTCGAGAGAGACCTGGAAAATGATTTGGCTATTAACTGATGGATGATGCAGGCAGAAGAGAAGATATAGAAGACCACTTGTTGTCAGTTGGGTTCTCTGGAAGCAGAGGCTTAGATGGGGTTTGGGGCTCAGGATGTTTATTTGGAATGTACACTTAAGCAGGATTGGGCAGTGGGAGGAGTCAAACCATGGTAGGAGCCTGACAAAGCCTCAGCCAACCCAGCAAGATGTCAGGAACCTGCATGTCCCATCATAGCATCTTGCATCAGGCCAAAGTGGATCTTCAGACTCTTCCTGGGTTGATCACCAGGAGTGTAAAGGACTTGACCTTGGCCTAGTTGGCCTTCTGCAGCTGAGGCTGTCCCTGAAGTTTTTGAGACCTGGAGACGGTCGCTGATCATATTAACCATGGATAGGGAGCAAGTCCTTACTTGAAGGAAGATATGGGTGGCCCAGCCTCACATCTGCCATACCAATGCATGAGCAATAGCACACATCAGACATTGGAGGAAAGCATGAGCAAGGTGTACTTAGGGCAGACAGTCGCTGGTGACGAAACCCTGGAGTTGAGGGTCATAGCAGACCACAATCTCAAGAAAACAGAGCACCATGCTGGGAAGGTATTTAAATGCCGGTGTGAGGATTTTGCTCTTCATAGGGGAAGAAGTGTAAATTAAATGAGAATGTGGCAAAGCAGCACTTGGGAAAAATTTTGTATGTGCTTTTGAAGGCCATGTATCTATTAGGAGAATAGGGAGAGGTGAGGGAAGCAGGATGATAGTGCTTGTTAAAAATGACTTCTGCTGCCGAGCGTGGTGGCTCACACCTATAATCCCAGCACTTTGGGAGTCCGAGACGGGCAGATCATTTGAGGTCAGGAGTTTGAGACCAGCCCGGCTAGCATGGTGAAACCCTGTCTCTACTAAAAATATAAAAATTAGCCAGGCGTGCTGTTGTGCAACTGTAATCCCAGCTACTTGGGAGGCTAAGGCAGTAGTAGACTCGTTTGAACCCAGGAGGTGGAGGCTTCAGTGAGTCATGATTGAGACCCTCCACTCCAGCCTGGGCGACAGAGCAAGACTTCGTCTCAAAAAAAAAGTTCGACCGTGCGCGGTGGCTCACGCCTGTAATCCCATCCCAGCACTTTAGGAGGCCGAGGCGGGCGGATCACAAGGTCAGGAGATGGAGAACATTCTGGATAACACGGTGAAACCCCGTCTCTACTAAAGATACAAAAATTAGCCGGGTGTGGTGGTGGGCGCCTGTAGTCCCAGCTACTTGGGAGGCTGAGGCAGGAGAATGGTGTGAACCCGGGAGGTGGAGCTTGCAGTGAGCCGAGATCGCGCTGCTGCACTCCAGACTGGGCGACAGAGAGAGACTCTGTCAAAAAACAAAAACAAAAAAACACTCCTGCACGAAGCTATGAAAGATAGCTACACACCTTAAACTACCAAAGTTAGAGCAAACACACCTTAAACTACCAAAGTATTTCAGGAAAATATGCTGTTTAAACAAGTAATTTTGGGCAAAAGAGACCTTCGACGAAACAGGTTGTTCAAAACTTTTTTTTTTTAAGTTCATGTCTGCCCTGCAACCAGAAGTTGGCACATATTTGACTCATTCCAATCAATCAACTGGCCCCTCATTTACCAAATGTTTACTGAATACCTACTAAGCGAATGAATTTTGTTCCCTGTTATGAGTAGCTCACAGTGTAATGAGGGAGATAAAATGAATAGATAATTTGTAATACAGCATTATCACCACTGGAAATGCGCGGTGAGGGTGGCAATAGTTTCACCTGGAAGTGACTCTCCAGCTAAGGGCTTTGTGTTCTATGATAAAACGATAAAGAAACATTAAAGGAGGTAATAAGACTACATTCATATTTTAGAGAGGTGACCTGTGATAGTTAGGAGTTGGAAAACCAAGTTGGAAAGCTGTTGCAAGAGCTCAGATAGTACAGAAAAGATGCTAATTAAGATTTATTGAGCACCTATAATGTGCCCCGCTGTGTTCTAATTATATATATATATAAAAATATATATATTTATATATATTTTTATATATATTTATATATATACAATTTAATCTTCACAATGGTGAAGTTTGAAATGAGTGATATGTTGTTTGGATTTTTCTTATAATTATATCAACTCAATGTTGGCTTCTAACATTGGCAAACTCAGGTGATTAAGAATTGTGGTTGATGTCATCAATAACAGTTTTTAAAAAGGAAAGATAAAATTTGGAAAAAAAATTAAGAGGACCATGGTGAAAGATAAGTATTGTTGCTTAAGAGAAAGAAAATGACGTTAATAGAACAGGAAATATTGTTTAAGAAGTAAAAGTTAATTCTCTTGTGCAAAATTCAACTAATTTATAAAAATCACAAACTACACACCTTCACATACACACACTAAAATATTGAGGGAGAAGTATCAGTAAACATGGAAAGGAGGATATAAAACTAGAGTATGCTTTTAAACTCAATATGCTTGAGCAACAATAAATAGAATGACAACATATTTACAGAGGAACAAAATTAGCCTAAGGAAAATACTCTTAAAATACAGTGAAACCCACTGAAATAGTCACAGTCAGCATCCAGCCTGTGGGTGTGCATGTATGTGTATTTAATCTCAGTTACAAGCCTTGGAAGAGAGAAATGAAAAGGAAAGGATAAAAGAAAACACAAAAAATATTAATATTTGTAGAGAATTTAAACATAGTTTGCAACACCCATGAATACCATCACTCTCATCACTGACTTCTTCATTACATTCATCTCTAACATTATAAATATGCGAATTATGTGTGTATATATACACATGCAGTATATATAAGTGTATGTGTATATACATATATACATATATATACACATATATATATACACACACACACACATATACATGCAGTCCCTCTCCCCGACATCATAAGTTCCATGAGGCGGGGTTTTGCCATGTTCAAAACTGTGTCAATAATTGTGTCTTGGCACATGCTAGATGTTAGCATTCGTTGAATGCTAAATGAATGAGATGTACATATTATTTCTTTTTATTTTATAATTAAGAAATAACATAGTATTTCTTAAATTTTAAGAAAAACTGAATAAACTTACATTCACTTGCTCAAGATTGCCAAAGTGTGGAGCCAAATTTTGAACCCAAGTTCAATTGGTCTAATGACCATATCTTTTGCTGTATAAGCACTGCCTTTTGAGGTGTTAAAGAACCATCTCCCATTAGACTTTTCTTTAATTTGCCTGATTTGATTTTGTGTGGTATATAAAACGTGGAGAAGGATGATGGTGAATTATATAGGCATGGTGGCGAGGCCCACCTTTAGTCCTAGCCACTTGGAAGGCTGAGGCAGGATGATCACTTGAGCCCAGGAGATTGTAGTGAGCTATGATCATGCCACTGCACTCCAGCTTGGGAAACACAGCTAGACCCTGTCTCTATAACAAATAATAATAATAAAAATTTTAAAATGAAAAGGAGTTATGATGGTGTATTTCTTAGTCCATTTGTGACTGCTATAACAAAATACCATAAACTGTGTGGCTTATAAATAAGCATAAATTTATTTCTCACAGTTCTGGACCTGGGAAATCCAAGTTTAGTATCCAGTAAAGGACCCACTTCCCAGTTGACAGACAGTGCCTTTTAGCTGTGTCCTCAGTAGAAGGGGTGATAGAGCTTCTTGGGGCTCTTTTATGAAAGCAGTAATCTCATTTAGGAGGGCCTCTAAAGACCTAATCACCCTCCCAAATGCCCCACCTCTTAACACAATCACCTTGAGAGTTAGGATTTCAACACATGAAATCTGGGGGGTTCCAGGGAGGGGACAAACATTGAGACTGTAGCAGATTACCACTGAAACATCTTTAAAGATTAAGTTCATGGTTCACAGCAGCTTTATAAAAGAAAAACGGATTCTTGAAAACTAATTGACAATATGCATCTTTTCACTTTGTGACAAATGATGATGTAAATAATATTCTATTTTAAAGTTGTAATATGTCTATCTGCACCAAACATTTTGTTATACTTTAATGGTTGTAGAAAACAATCAGTGAATTTTGAATTTGCATGAAGCCAATCTTATGTATTATCACTTTCATGATAAAACATAATCAAGTGGTAAGAAGCAGAGATCTGAGGAATTTTTTGTGGTCATTGTTTTTAACATGCTGGGCAAATCGGTTCATTAATTATCTCTTTTTCATAAGTAACACCAAAGTAAAAGCACTTAGCTGGCTCCTCTTGGATGTTAGAGAGTGAACACAACTCCTGTGGACTTAACGCAGGCTGATGAATCCATTAAGTTATGAGCTCTTTTGCTAAACACAAAAAGGGATGCCCAGATGTGTCTATATATGATCATCTTATTTTTGCCAGACTCCTGATTGGTAGTAATTACTTGAGCAGAATGAATGCTGAGATCACTGTTGTGTATATTAAGACAGGAATCAATACAATGAATCGTAGTTAATGTATTTTGCACATAAGATGTGAACTGAGCTTCTCACACCTTTCTTTTTATATTTACTTATATTTGTCACTGAAATTTTGGGGATCATTCTAATTTAGTAGTGATCGTATAAATATATTTATAATTTTCATAATTTAAAAAATCAATTTCACAGTTGTTAATGTGGCTGCTGTTTTATTCAAATGAAGCAGAAGAGGTAAAACTGCGTGGTGAATGCATACACTTAAAACATTTCTTGTATACTTCCCATTGCTCTAATAAAACGAAAGTTATATTCTCATTTGTTATCTATGTCTAATGTCTCACAAATACTTTTTTTTTTTTTTTTTGAGACGGAGTCTCGCTCTGTCACCCAGGCTGGAGTCCAGTGGTGCAATCTCGGCTCACTGCAACCTCTCCCTCAAGCTATTCTCCTGCCTCAGTCTCCCGAGTAGGTGGGACTACAGGCATGTGCTACCACACCTGGCTAATTTTTTGTATTTTTAGTAGTGTTGGGTTTTCACCATGTTAGCTAGGATGGTCTTGATCTCCTGACCTCGTGATCTGCCAACCTCGGCCTCCCAAAGTGCTGGGATTACAGGCGTGAACCACCACACCCGGCCCTCACAAATACTTTTATACAGCCACTAAAGAATACTTTAGTCCTTTAGTTCGTATTATGCAGCTGTCTTTCTACAGATTAGCTTTTATTATTACCCATTAATTCTGCTAGAGTCGTTCTGCCCTTTTTGGAGGTTTAGTTTTTCTTTATCTCTAAAAGCACCCTGGTCACACAGGCTCATGCGTGTGCATATGCAGAGCATAACTGCCATGTTTTCTCTTTCTTCTCCTCCTCCTCCACTTGCTTCTCTTTCTCCCTTGCTCGTTATTGGTTGTTGATTGCATCTAGTATCTCTCCCTGGGATATTTTGCTAACGTATGAAGTGGTGTTGGTATGTGCAGTGCTTGGCCCTGTAATTGGTTAACATTAACAACCTGAGCTTTGTTGTATTTGTAAACATGTCTGTTACCTATCTACATTTATAAAGGTATTACAAAATACTTGCTGAATTTTGATATCTTTTTTTAATATTCTAATATAATTTATATTTAACTAAGAAATTATTTGTTTTTTGATGGCACTTGCATGTTGAATCCAGTGTTGCTAATTATAATGCTTATTACATTCCTTACCTAATTTCTGCTTACATTTTCCGAAAGTGACACCTGCCTTCTCCCTCCCTCCCATGTTTCAGAATATTTAAATCCCAGTGAGTCTTTTTGTTGTTGCTGTTGTTTTATTTTAACCTGATGCATAATTGGTGATAGTGTTCTGCCGTTTGAAATTTCACAAAAAGTTTGCACGATGTGCATTTCTTCAAAGCCACTTGCAAGTATTCCACTTCATTGAGATCAAGATTTTTCATCTTTTAAAAGCAGATACTGTAATAAATATTGCCTATCTCAAAGGGTCGTTATGAGAATTTAATAAAGTCATATGTGGAAAATACCTAATAAAGTGCCTAGCCTGTTGCTAACATTAGTTTTTACTATTTTTCTGTATGATTGTTAGGATCTATAATTTTTCAAATACGTAAGTAATTTTCAACAAAAAGTCACAGTCTAACACTTAAGGCCATTGGCATTTGTCAAAATTCAGATCTTTCTGTTTGATTGAAAGAGGGAATAGTAATATATTTTTTCCTGGAATATTTTTGAGTAATGTTAAATATGTGAGTCATTATTACCAGAAACTATGATGCTAAACGTTTGTATTTTCAATGCCTTACCAACTTCTTTCCTCATGTCAAAAAAAATGATAACCTCTGAAATTGGTAGTTTTATCTGGTCTAATTAATTCCTTCTGTTAAACCATAGTAATTATTAGAAAGAGTAATTCGGTGGTAGAGGGAACAGAAAGAAAAGATGACTCTGTATTTCTGATTTACCTAAGAAACAGAAATAAAAGTGTTGGCGGGGGAAACACACCATAGTAAGTTTAACTTTCTGTTGAGCCCTAAAACAGCTCAGTCAGTGTAGATCAGGTACAATAGCACCTCTTTTATCCCCATCTTTCTTTTTTTTTCTCCAAAAGCAACAAAAATGTATGCTTAGCTCCAGGGGAGAACTGCTTTCCTCAAGCTGGAATCCTGTACAACTGTCATCTCCAATACACTTCTACACCTATTTTACAAAGAAACTTCTTGCATTTCTTGGGTTTGTGAATGGTTAGTTTCAAAGTCCCTTTTAAAACAGCTTTACAAGACCTTTAACTCTGCATAAACCCACAGTTTCCTTCTCCAAGTTTACAAAAGCTGATCCCTGAGCTATGGGATAAGAAATAAGTCACCGTTATCTTTGTGTGTGTGTGTGTGTGTGTGTGTGTGTGTGTGTGTTACTTTGAACCTATTAAATTGGTACTAAAGGACTAAAGGTCAGATGCAAAAGCATTGGAAAAAAATCAAAAATTTTCTTTGCATTTTGAGTATTAGTTATTTCCCTGTGATAACTTATCTCATAGTGATTTTATTACATTAAGTTGTTGTGTTTTATTTATTGTATTTGAATTCTAAAAGTGGCAGAAATTTTACATAGTAATTCCCAATTCAGTGCATGTTTTCATTAAAATAACCACTTAAAAATGACATGTATTACCTGCCCCCTGTTTTAAGACTGAAATCAGTAACAGGGTAATAATTTCAGTGAATGTTCTGGATTAGATTGGTTCTGTACTGGATTACATGGATACATGATCCTAGGATCCATGAATATCTAAGATACAATAGTGATAGGGACAGGAGGCAGGGAAATTCTGGGCCCTACACTCCAGCCTGGAACCGCAGCCCAAAGTGAGAACGTACATTCCTGTTTTCCCACTTGAATGCTGCCTTTTCCAAAACCACCCATGGTCCAGCCCATCCCCCATCCTGTGCCCATAAAAACCCCAGGCTCTGCTGGCAGAGAGAGGAGAAGAGGAGAAGCAGATGGATGTCAGAGACTATGGTTGGATGTTGGAGAGAAGTAGCTTGCCTTCAGAGGGACAGCTTGACAGCGTGACTTCGGATAAGAATCTGGCTGGAAACCGCTAAACTTCAGGGGAAGATCACCTTCCCACTCCATCTCCTTTCCAGCTCCCCTTCCTGCTGAGAGCCACTTCCATCAGCAATAAAATCCTCTGCATTCACCACCCTTCAATTTATTTGTGCAATCTGATTTTTCCTGGACACCGAACAAGAGCTCAAGTACCACGGGTGTGGATGCAAAAGGCTGTCACACTGACCCTCTGCCCTTGCTGGCAGAAAGTAGCCACCTCACACAAAAAGGCAGAGGGCCCACTGAGCTGTTAACACTTTAGCTGTCCATGGACGTGGCAGAGCTAAAAGAGCACTGTAACGTGCATTCTGGGACTTCAGGGGTCATGGCACCCCCTGGATGCTGCCACGAGGCCACTATGGAGTTCGTTTCTGCCAGCACCCAAAAGCGCTCTCCCTGGCTCCTGCACCTGCTCACCTGCATACTCCCTCCTGTCAGGGGTTGAGCACAGAGGGCTCAAGTGAATGGAGTTTGCCCCTGCCAGTGCCAAAGCAGCTGGCTAGCTCCAGCACTCGCATTCCAGTTCCCTCCCACGAAGGAGCCAAGGGAAATTTCCTGTTTCAGTAGATATGTAATATCCATGAATATGTAATAAGTAATAGATTAATTTATAGATGAATATTGCCACACTGTTAAGTGCAAAAATAAATACAGCAATTGTGGGAGAAAAAGTCAGCTTAGATTTGAGACACCTAATCCTATGTCTGTGCGACCACTTCCCCTAAAAATTTTATGCCTGAAACCACCAAGAATCACCTTGCTCCTTATATAAGCTGCCGACAGTTTTTCTGTCTAGCTTTATTCATTTAGCCACAATAACCTTCACTCCGCTTCAAGGTTGCCCTGAGGCGCCTTATATCCAGCTCATGTCAGGATGTCTTGATGAAGCTTCTAAGCATGAAGTCTTGCAGCCTCCTGGAAGCTCTGCAAAGACAGCCGCAGGTGATTAGATGAAACGGACAGCAATACCTATAGTAAGTGCTTGAATTCCATGCCTACTCCAAAATATGTGCCCTAGGCAAGAACCCAATTTACTCCCCCTGGGGCCAACTTTGAACCATCCCTTTCCTCTGTGTTTGGGTAGAAATGTTGGCACCACAGAATCTGCGGTAATGTCGCATCTTTTAGAAGATAATTTGCACTCATTAAACACGACTATAATTTGTAACTACTGTAAATTAGTCAAATTTCTCCCTTAAATAAAATCATCACATTATGTTGAGGCCGAATGCAAAGTTTCAGTTGCCCACATTTTAATGAGTGGTGAGTTACGTGAAGGAGAGTAAAGATTTTGTGTAGACTTAATTCTTTATTTTTAACTAGCATAGTTATGTTGGAAATATGTAAGCACCGAGGTTTCAACTATCTGCAACTCAAGATGCGATATAAAATGTATTCTATTTAATGAGCTCTGCATTCCATTGACTGTTGAACTATACATCAATTGCATGCCACTTCCTTTCAACATTCAAACTGTTTAGCTCACACTAATAGGTACATTAAAAAGAATCTTGCTACAAATATGAACGCAGACATCATAGCTATATGCATTTCTGCCTAGGCTCACACTTTTTTAAAAGCTCCTAAGAGAAATCTTCACAAAGATAAACTGTAACCCTTTTTGTGCAGTGTTTGCTAATGGAGAAAGATATGATGTGCATTTTTTCTGTACACAGCTGAACTAGTGTACAATGATATCAACTAGAAAAAATGAGAGAGTTGGAATAATCACTGTATCATTATAGACATAGGCAATTGATGAATTGTTTAGCTCTCTTTATGTCTTTGAGTACCTTTGGTGAAAAAGTGTGAAAATAACACTATTTAGAATTGTAAATTGAATCACGATGCTATCATAGTACTTTGAAAACAATGATGGATGTTTTTAAATAGAAAGTGGGCTAAATGAGTCCTGAAATATTACAAAGGTAATCTATACTCGTAAGTAAACAGTTAATAATCTCAAAAGAGAGATTTAGAAGGCACATTATTCATTTGCTAGTGTTACAAATGGCCTTTGACTAGTTACCTATTAAGAAAGAGAAAATTATCTGAACTCCAGAATAAAATTCACGTAAATACTGTCTGCTAAAAAAGAAAAAAAAATGAAAGAAAATTACTCGTTAAAAAGACACTTAAGAAAAAAAGCTTACTACTTGTGTTTCTAACAGAGAATGTGAAAATAGTCCTGCTTTTACGTTGTTTTTAACATGTTTGTGAAAATACAACTTTGTAAATCAGCTTAAATAGTAGGTTTAATAAAGAGCATCTTTAAGAAGTCAGTATGAATTGTATGTTATTATCTTCTTGGTTGTGGATCTTTAGAAAAAAATATTTAGGTGAATATTAATACTCATAGCTAGTCACAGAAGAAAATATTTTATTCTTGCTTTGTTTCTCTCTCTCTCTCTCTCTCTCTCACACACACACACACACACACACACACACACACCCATACATATATAGTTTCTCTTTATTGGAGAGCTTATTGGTTTAGATAAAAATTTCACACAAATAACAAAATATGATTTTAAAGATTGTTAGTGGCATGAAACTAATTTCTTTGCCATAAAATCATAAAAGCACCTCCATAATGGGAGTAAAATATAGGAATGAAATCAAACTCTGTATGCTTACTAAAGCGTTGATTTTTTTCTTCTATATTATTGCACTTTGGTGTTGTATGCTGTGGAATACTGTATTTTGGACTTTGGACATTTTTGGTAGAGAGTCGAATATTTTCTATAGACATTGTATTTTGAAATTTGTGGAAATATGACAGTGTGGAAAAATAACATATCAGAAAAATGTGTTTATAAATCTGCCAGTAACACATACTTTAAATGAGTTTATTCTGCAAATGGTAGAATTTGAGTTCTCCTAGAATTTAAAATAAGTACAGATTTAGTCATTAACATTAAATTCCCTGGTAACCATATATATAAATACAGTCATAGTGTTATTTTCTTAAAACATGGAGAGTGGTTACACAAATACCTCATGAAACATATAGGCTAACCATTTCCCTTCATTTTGCATAAATTGGCCATGGAATTTTGCTATATAAATGTAACCTTCAATGTAATTTGATACCCTTTCAAATGGTTTCTGCAGTCAAAAAAAATCTTGAATTATATCATGTATGTTACTAATATTGGCTTCTCTGCAAGGTTGAGTAAACAGAAAATAAAATGAAAACATCTGCAGAAAGTGATCCCAGTATGAACTACTGCCATAGCATTTCATTCCAATCAGAATCACTGTTTACTTTCAATATTAAGACCAGCAGTAGGTAAGACCACTGGCTGAAAATTAAAAGCTAATCTATGGAAAATTGTGGCCAAGGGATGTGTAGTCTACATTTGAACATTTGTTAAATAAATAATGAAACATAAGAAAGAGGCCAAAACCTTTCAGAAATCCTTGGATTTTATTTATACCCTGATGCCCACATCAGCACGCTGCAATTCTCACAGTGGGGCCATTTTGACCATCTGGGGCCTGGAGTGAGCCACAGCTCATCAGACAGTGTCCTTCTCATTTGCTTAGTCAATTGTTTTTAAAGAGCTTTGAGATTTCTTTTGCAGGAAAGTTGATTTTTTTTTGGAACATACTACTCATTTTTGTTTTTTGAACGTCTTCTTTCCAATAAAACTGCTATAAAACCTCTTCCAATTCACACTGCAATTTGATGAATTACCTTCTCAGGATTTCATTATAAATGTGTTTGAAAGTGCTACTGCAGAGAATGAGGTGTTTGGAAATAACAAATAGTTACAGGGCAAATGAAAAGCTGTACATTGAAATGCTTTGAGTTCTGAGTATACCAATAAGCAGTTCATTTAATTCCTTAGAGCATCTGTGTACTACATTATTATTATTAGGCAGGGTTATTTTATTAATATAAAATAGAATGCATCTGTGCTGGAGAAGAATCCCACACCACGTGTATGACAGGCCTGACCTATGAGCAAACCACAGAATCCAGTGGAGTCTGGTTTGTGATTAAGGGCAATGATACATGACATCTTCTAGCCATGCAGTGAAGTCAGGTGACCTTACTGAGCTATGTAACTTCATGATTTTGTAATCATTTCTTTTAAGGGTTTAAAAGTTCATTTTATATTGCAAATACACTCCAGAATAAATGTACAGCAAATCTGTGTGAGATAAGTTTATTCTCCATCTTAAAACCAGACTTATCAAGGTTCCGAATTCCTCCCCACCCAATTTATTGGCTATTCCTGGTATACTCATTTTAATGAAATCTGAAGTATTAGAATTATACAATCGCTCATCTGCAGGACATGTGAGGGTTTAACCTGACCAAAGAGAACAAGTCTGTTATCCCATAACAGAGATCGGAGACTTTAAGACTGATTGTTTACTGTTTTCAGCATTATTACCATCAATTTTTTTTTTTATTTTAGTAAAACAGCATTTCATCTCAACCTAAAAGGTTTCTAAACGTTTACCATTTTGTGATGGTGTTTTAATATTTTTGGAGTTCCAGCCAATTATTAAAATCAGATTGGCTGTATAAAATGAAACAAGGAATTCAACATCAGTTTTAATTTGACTGACTTATTGATAGGGTCAGCGACTGCAAACCCTGACTTACCTGTGTCACAGTTAAACCACTTGTTTCACAGATCTGCATAGAACATACTTCATCCCTGAAACCAGAACGTGTGGTGCAGTACATGCGTCTCTCACCTGGCTTCCCGTAAGTAAGGTGACAGCAGTAGCAATATCTAGTGGAATGACATGTTCCTTAGGATTTGGAGTAACATGAATACAATGGGTGCAAAGGAGTCAGTGTCTAGCCCTTTCCCCTACTTTTGATTTAGAAGAGATATAAAACCAGGGCCCAGGGTAGGGTAGGCCTTCTCAAATTCTTGCTGAACCAATAAAGCAATGAATTAACTAATGCTTTATTTCTGAAAAGGGCTTTGGAATAATTCATATTAGGTAAAATTTTACTTAATTTATTAGAGTTTAAGAAGCAGAAGTACATTAATAATTATTGCTATATTTTTTTTTCTTTTCTAAAAATGGGTAAAGATACTAAAGGTTAGACAAGTTTAGTGATCTGTCCAAGATTACAGGGCCAGAGAAAGTATAAACTAAAATGCAGGATCCTCTACTCACAGTTCAAAGTACTTTCCTTTCCACTACATCCTTTTTTTTTTTTTTTTTTTTTTTTTTGAGATGGAGTCTCGCTCTGTTGCCCAGGCTGGAGTGCAGTGGGGTGTGATCTCGGCTCACTGCAACCTCCACTTCCCGGGTTCAAGTGATTCTCATGCCACAGCCTCCCAAGTAGCTAGGATTACAGGTGCCCGCCATCATTCCTAGCTAATTTTGTATTTTTTAGTAGAGATGGGGTTTCACAATGTTTGCCAGGCTGGTCTCGAACTCTTGACCTCAAGTGATCGGCCTGCGTTGGCCTCTAAGTTCAAAATTATTTTAATCTTGATGATTATCGTGAAAGAGACAGAAGTTAAAATGTCCAGTCTTGGAATTACTGAAGATTAACAATAATTTTAAACAAATATATGTGTTTTTTATATATATATAATATTTTATATAATATAATATATAATGTTTTATATATAATATATAATATATAATGTTTTATATATAATATATATAATGTTTTATATATAATATATAATATATAATGTTTTATATATAATATATAATGTTTTATATATTATATATAATATATAATATTTTATATATATTATATATAATATATAATATTTTATATATATTATATATAATATATAATGTTTTATATATATATTATATATAATATATAATGTTTTATATATATATTATATATAATATATAATGTTTTATATATATATTATATATAATATATAATGTTTTATATATATAATATATAATATATAATGTTTTTATATATATATAAACAGTCTATCTGGTATACATTGATTCATTCATTCATTTGATAACAACTTGTTGAAAAGGCTGATAGACAGTAAGAAACTCAAGAAATACAGACCTGTATTCACTGTGACAGACACTAGAATCATGGTTAGAAGGATAAGTCACAGGAAAGATGATGATAAATAAATGAAGATATTCAGTATTATTTTGATTGCTAGAAGACGTAAATGTCTATTTACTTTTATTATGACCCATTATCTTTACCAAATGGCTTTTATTATAAAGAACCCGTGTAAAACATAGATATATTGGAAAGTAAATTACAAAAAGTACCAGCAGAATAAAATGTTAGGTAGAAAATTACCAAACTCCATCGTTTTCAGTTGTGATATAGACCTAGCTGATCTCTGGTTCTACACATTGTCCAAGTGAACACAAAATATGTCTCTCCAGTTGGAAAGAGGAAACTTAGTTTGATTCAGACATTTCTCATTTTCTGTTGTGACTTTTCCTGTTTTAGCAGAATTATATATTTTTTATTTTATCTCCAGCGGGTTAGTGATGTTTATTAAGTGGGAGAGCTCCATGAGTAAGTTATACTGCATTTTATTTATTCTTTTATGGTTATTCAAATAATTCAGGATGACATAATTTAAAGACAAAAAACTCATAAACATTGCATGCCTATATGTCTGTTTCACAAATTACAACATATATAAATAATAAAAACTCTTTTAGCACCAAGAAACGCAATATTCATCTATTGTTATTCTTTTCAACTAGCTATTTAAGGTAACTATCAGATACCTATAAATATATACAATTATTTTTAAGCACAATATTATAAAATGCATTATACTAGTATATACATATATATATTGTCTCTTTCCCTCTGTCTCTATATATAGAGAAAATATATAAATATAAATGTATAAAACATATAAATATATATGTTATAAATATATGTATATTTATATGTTTATATATCCCCACCATAATTGGCTGGGCATGGTGGATATATACACAGAATAGATATAGATATATGTGTGTATGTATACATATATACATATATAGAGAGATCCTAAATACAGAGAGATAGAATATATATAGTCTAGTATTTTGGTGTACATCGGTTCATTCATTCATTTGATAATGACTTGTTGAAAAGACTGATAGTAAGGAGCCAGGAAATACAGACCTGTACTCATTGTGACAGACAGTAGAATCATAGTTAGAAGGACAAGTCACTGGAGAGAAGATGAAAAATAAATGAATATATTCCTATATATCTAGCTGTATCACATATAATAATGGAATATAATATATAACCTATATAATACATATAATATAACCTATATAATAACTGAAAAAGATGGAGTTTGGTAATTTTCTGACATTTTTCATAATATGTATTTATATATATAACATTTTATACAATATATAACCTATATAATGACTGAAAATGATGGAGTTTGGTAATTTTCTGTCTGACATTTTATTCTGCTGGTACTTTTTGTAATTTACTTTCCAACAAATCTATGCTTTACATGGGCTCTTTATAATAAAAGTTATTTGGTAAAGATAATGGGTCATAATAAAAGTAAATAAACATTGACTTCTTCTAGCACAGGGCTTTCCCTAACAGTGATTGCATTTTAAATTTCTGCAGTTAGGGTAGCACAAGGCCCTTATACAAATGTATTTTATTTTTAAGGGTTTGTTTTTGAAAGAATGACTCACCCAGCCTTGAAACTGGGTGGTCCATCAGACCTCATTCCAGCTAGCACAGGGCTTTCCCTAACAGGGACCTGTTTCAGAACATAGATATTTGTTTGCTTGTGACAGCTGCCTTTGGGGTTTTCTAAATACAGAGAGAGAGAGATCTTTGGTTTCTCTCTCTCTCTTTCTACCTATGTATAGATAGATAGGGGTGTGTGTGTGTGTGTGTGTGTGTATATATATATATATATATATGTATATATATATATATATTCAATTGTATATATATACACAACTGAAATAGTGACTCTATATATATAGATATGTATAGATATAGATGTGTATATACATATATATATATATATATATATATATATATAGAGAGAGAGAGAGAGAGAGAGAGAGAGAGAGAGAGAGAGACACTATGCTGCCCAGGCTGATCTTGAACTCCTGGCCTTAAGCAATTCTCCCACTTCAGCGTCCCAAAATGTTGAGATAACAAGTGTGAGCCAGTGCTCCCAGGCTAGAATATTTTTTATCTTCAAATAAAAAGCAACATATAAGCTCTCTAGTTGAACAAAAGTAGCTGAAAATAGAATATAAGTTTATTATTATGGAACATTGTCTTTTGTAAGTTTTATTGCATTCTGTGCTGAAAGATTCTGTTTCTGAAACAGTTTTTACCTTATGTAGCCTTATATAAGAGCAATACTGGTATGAAACAAAAAGCCTAAATAGGTTTTTTAAACTTTAACTATAGATTAAGGAACATATTGGCCAGTCAAAATACCTAGCGAGGGGCCAATTGTAAATGATGCAGTGACGTATACACAATGTACACCAGCTCACAACGCTTTTCTCCATTCATGGACCTTTCATAAGCCACAGCTACACCAAGGCCGAGGCCTATAGATCTAAAGGAGCAACTTACTTTTATATTCCAGTTTCTATCTTATTATAATATGACTATAAACCGAGTCACTGGCAATCACACAAAGCCTTGTTTACAGAGTATCTGTACATCAATAGTATTACTACATACAGGCCCTCTCCACAAACATTAAGAATGGTATGGAAATGAAATATTACTATGTAATATTTTTGTTTTGCATTTCCAGATTATTTTGATCATTCTATGGAGACAGAAAATGTAAAACACTGAGAGAAGAATAGTTCCCTAAAAGAACTTTTCAAAAAAAGTAAATTTGAATGAGCATATATAAATATAGATGTAGGTAGGTCAAATGAAATTAGCTACTTAGTGAAATGAATTTTTTATTGTTTGCTCTAGCAAACATCCAGAAATGGCCAACAACTAAGCAGCCAGAGATTTTTTTGTTGAGCACCCAAATTTATCTATTTCATTTTAATTTACCATACACAATAAAGTAATTAAGGCAATCACTGTTTTATTGTCTGCCTATTTCAAGGATTTAAGGGAAGTTAAATGAGGCACAATGGCCCACCTGCTAAAACATCTTGAACTTATATTGCATTTCAGAGCATTTGTTCCAAAGACCTGGCGTGCTTGGCTTAGATATTAAACACCCCATGTGTTGTATGTCTTAGTATCTGAAGATAACTTCCAATAAATTTAAAGTATAAAACAATCCGGTTTGGTATAAAAGTAATAACATCCTTTACTATGAAGCATGCAGGCTCTCTCTAAATACCTATGGTTCATGCACATTTTACCCACTATTTCAAAAACAGTCAATGAAAATCTGGCCAGATATCAGTATTTAATTTTCCCCATGCTAAGTTTCAGACTCCATGTTGAGTTCAGCTGCTGAGAACTGGAAACGAATATGAGATTTTTTTTATTGTCTTGTTTTGGAGAATGGAGACCACAGGATTCTATGACGTGAGCTTGTTGAACCCTCATCTCACTAAATGTGCACAGCTCTCCCTCATGACTAAAACGCACTGTCTGTTGTGAATGGCTTTGTTTTAGCCTCAGTTTTAATAGAGCCAGAGGCAAATGTAACAGTATTTTAAGGTACGTTTGCCTGGTAACTGCTGTAAATGTTTTAGAGGTATTTATAAGACAACATTTTTTGTATGCAAATTTTTATACAATCCACATGGTAAATAAGTGCATTTCCACATGAAGTCTATGATAACACAGCATTTTGATGTTCTCTATGAGTAAGAATGTCATAGTTCACCACTGATAGGCGTGTATGTTTTTAATTTTCTTGTCTAGCCAACTATTTGCTTTCTGCGGTGTTAACTATTTCTTTCCTTAACTTTTTATTCAGTTGTGTTGCTTTAATTCTTCCCCAAAGAGTTTGAGTATTTTATGAACCTTCACATTTTGACCTGTAAATCATCAATCTTACAAGCTTTAATTTGGAAAAAAAAATTACAAAGAGCTGAAAACTGACTTTCTGAACCAAAATTGCTTTCTTAACATATATTTTTAAAGAGGGAAATTACTATGACAGGTTGATTGCAATTTAAAACATCATCTTCTGTGGATTACAAGTATTTTAAGGTTCATAATTTCCATAATTATTTTTTCTGCCTATAAAATGCTTCAAATTTAATTGAAAATAACATCTGTATTAATTTCTATCATTTAGGATGAAAGTTGATTGTTTCTAGAGTTTGTAATTCTCTGAAGTGTTGCATATCAAACTGTGTTCTCTACAGAATTTAAATCATAAAATAAAATGTGCATATTTTCCCCTGCAGGAATTCTATTTGAATCAAGCCCATCTTTAATTCTTGTCAGAATGCACCATTAATAATTTATTAACATTTATTGTAGTTTATACCATACACCTTAATACACCTTAAGCTGTTTTAAATACATATAAATTACAATTTGAATATTATTTTATACAGCTTCTTCAGTGCTTGATTCATCTGTTACAAATTTAAATAATCTCCTCATTGTACTGGGCATTTGGGGATACTACTTGCAGGAACAGGGTTTAAGTAGGAGAAACTGAAGTCAAACTGTTAAGTGCCTGATTGCAGTAGGATGTGCCACTCTGTGATTTTGTGTCTCTTCGTTTGCTTTAATTAAAAAATATCATTCTTTAAAATATTTTGGGGCTGCTAGAGTGAGTATGTGGGAGTCAATTTTTGAGTGATTACAGTTTAAAATCCAGAGATAGTATAAAATGTAATACATTCATTACAAACAGTATTAACAATAGCTTTTGCAAGAAAAGGATCTTGGAGTAAAAGTTAATTTCAAATGGTTCAAGTGTTTTCATTCTACAAAATTGGGAAATGGAAGTGTGTATTAAATAATTAACTGGGAAATGAAAATGTGTATTAAGTTTATGACATTGTCTTCTCCTAAAATGGTAAATGATTAGCTATAGAAAGAATGCAAATAAGACTTCCTTTCTCTTTTGATGTGGTACTCCAAGATATCAGAGCACCATTCAAACAGGGGAATACTAAGTTTAAAAAATTATTTTTGCAATCTATTCCTACATTACAGAGCATACTGCTCTAGTTAATATATTTCAAACCTGAAGGATTTGTTACACAGAAAACAGTCTAGAGCAAATATGTGTATGTAAGTGTGTATGTGTATTTATTGCACTTATTTACATATATATGACATAGGTACATTTATATATGTACATATATTTTTCTACACTATTTTCTGCATGCACACACACATATATATGCTGTATAGGAAGTATTCTGGATTCCTTTTGAATGCTTGCTGCATGTTACTTACATAATTAGGGCCATCTGCTCTGTTATTACAAACTTCCGAGAACTGGCATTCTGTGATATGACTGCAAATCATTAAGCAGCCTGTTAAAAGAATAAGCATGCGCCATACTACTAAGAGATCCTCAAAAATCTTGCACGGATATAATATATGATCCTGAAGAAGTAATGGATTAGTGAATGATAATTATAAAACATTCTTTTATTGGTGAATGTTGTTTAACATTTTATGTATAAATAATGCTTATTTTCCAAGAGTAAAGAAAAATTTAGAGGAAGCTGCAAAAATAACCTCCCTGTCCTAAGAAGTGCATATTTAAAGAATAATATCAACATCATGACAGCATAGTTAAAAATATCCCAAAATGAAATTGTCTCTATTTATTGCTAATGTTAAGGCACAGCAGCACCACTCACCCAACAAGATTTTAGAATCACATACTATATTAGAAACCAAATAAATTCCTTTGTTGTTGCCTTCTACAATAATTGGCTTTTATTACAGATTTAGCTGGTCATATAAATAGCTGAATTCTGAATTTTAAAACTGATAAGGTTGAGGCCGGGCACGGTGGCTCACACCTGTAATCCCAACACTTTGGAAGGCTGAGGCGGGCAGATCACTTGAGGTCAGGAGTTCGAGACCAGCCTGACCAACATGGTGAAACCCTGTCTCTACGAAAAATATAAAAGTTAGGCAGTTGTGGTGGTGGATGCCTGTAATCCCAGCTGCAGCAGGAGAATCACTTGAACCCAGGAGGTGGAGGATGCAGTGAACCTAGATCACACCACTGCACTCCAGCCTGGGTGACACAGTTAGACTCCATCTCAAAAATAAATACATAAAATAATAAAATGGATAAGTTTGAAATATCGTTACCAGGTTATTTTTTTTAAATTGCTCAAGAAGCAATAAAATATTTATCTTTGGTTTAACTTGTTTTTTGGTTTTTAACTTATCGCAGATCTCAATACTCTTGTGTACTCACATGCAATGTAGGTTTCCCATAATCAACTTTATGCATTCCCTCATAGTTTATAGAAAAGTAGTTGTATCTACTTTTTTTTTTTTTTTTTTTTTTTTTTTTTTTTTTTTTTTTTTTTGAGAGGGAGTGTAGCTCTGTCGCCCAGGCTGGAGCGCCATGGTGTGATCTCAGCTCACTGCAAGCTCCCCCTCCTGGGTTCACGCCATTCTCCTGCCTCAGCCTCCTGAGTAGCTGGGACTACAGGCGCCCGCCAACATGCCCGGCTAGTTTTTTGTATTTTTAGTAGAGATGGGATTTCACCGTGTTATCCAGGATGGTCTCGATCTCCTGACCTCGTGATCTGCCCACCTCGGCCTCCCAAAGTGCTGGGATTACAGGCGTGAGCCACCGCGCCCGGCCATATTTACATTATTTTAAGTGTTCCCTGTTCTTCATATCGATACCATTACATTCAGTTTTAAGATGTGTTAAAAGTTACTCTTTCCACATACTGATGTCTTCTCATTGAGGGTACATTCCTTGGTCATTCTCTTAAGCACATTGCCATTATCTCTTCCTTCTATAAGGTGATCTAAAAGATGATCTTAAGAAACAATTACCATTCTCATTTTAAGGATTTCAGTCTGTAAAGTTAAAGAACCAGATACACGTGTAATGTTCCCCTGTTTGGATGGTGTCTGAGATTGCAACGACATTCTGAGCCAATTTGCTGTGCAATTCCTGACCGCCAACTGCACTCGGACCCTGGCCAGGCATCTTGAAAGTGCAGGACTCTAGACTCCAGCAGACAAAATGTAAATGGATCAAAAACTGTTTCATCACATTCACTAAACTATCTCCATATTATTACTATAATTTTATAGAAGAAAAAAATGTTTTATTTAAAAAGTCTTGTCTAGTAATAACCTTGATCAAGAATAACAGGATTTCTTCATAACTTCAGCTCAAAACATATGTTGAACTTTACCAACAAAATTCCCAAAAAGTCACACTTAGATTCTGTGGATAAATACTTATCACTTCCTCTGAAATGTTATTTGTCTAGGATATTGGCGAAAACTTTTACCATGGTTTGTTTTTTTTTAAATTACTTAGAATACAGTAATTTTTGGATGACAATACCTAGGGATAAAATCTATTGTCTGTTTATGAAGCTACAAGCATGGTAAGAAATGTTAAGGATTGAACAAGCAGCTTTTAGACTTCATTCAGTTTACAGAGATCTACCTTATATTTCTGCCTTGAGTGTTAAATGTTAAAAGCAAATGATGATCTAAAAAAAAATGGTGCTGGATTCATAATAACAGTGAAAAGAGATATATAGCACAAATTATTAGGGATTGGCTGGCTGCAGTGGCTCACACCTGTAATCCCAGCACTTTGGGAGGTTGAGGTGGATGGATCACCTGAGGTCAGTTCGTGACCAGCCTGGCCAACATGGTGAAAACCCATCTCTACTAAAAATACAGAAATTAGCTGGGCATGGTGGCACACACCTGTGGTCCCAGCTACTAAGGAGGCTGAGGCAGGAGAATTGTTTGAACTCAAGAGGTGGAGGTTGCAGTGAGCCGAGATCGCACCACTGCACAGCGGCCTGGGTGACAGAGCAAGACCCTGTCTCAAAAATAAATAAGTAAATAAAATAAATAAATAGCGATTAATTTTGTTGGGGTGGGAGCAATGAGTCATTATCAAAATATCTTGCCAACTAAATATATTTATTCAATGTAACAAGACAATCATATCACATTTACTGTAGGAGAAGAGTGCAGCCTATATTGAATTGTACAAAACATACTTCTTTAACCCTGGCTATATTTTTATAAAGGCAGGAACATGTACTTGGCCAATTTTTGAATGTTGTAGGAAGGAATTTATTCTTTCATTGGTGGGGGGAGTTCGGCTGTTTACAAGTTGTGAAAAATGGAACCTCTCCTTTAAGCATTGTGCCATCTTCTTGAAGAGCACTTTTTGTGTATTAATCTTTCATTAGACCTAATTTTGAAATAAAGATTATTTTTGGTCTGATTTGGCAGGAGTTGAAATCGTTTGAGATAAAAATTTGTGTTGGCTTTTGTGTAGTAATATTCTATTCTAGACTGCGTGCCGTTTTAAGTGTATTTGCACTTGGTTTATGTTTCTGTGCCTGTCTCTATACTATACTTGAAATATATGCATGGTGTATTAGTTCTATATTGCTACATTTTAAAAAATGATGCCAAAACTTGGTTTCTGTGAGTCAGGAATCTGGATGTAGCTTAGCTGTGTTTTTCTGGCTCAAAATTCTTGTGAGGCTGCAATCAAAGTGTTGGCCAGGGCTGCAGTCATCTCAAGGTTTGAACAGGAGAGGATCCTCTTCCATGCCCACCTCATGCCTATTGGTCACCTTCAGGTTCACACTCGGTAATAGGTGTGTGGGATGGGAATCATTCCTTGCTATGTGAGTCTTCCCATAGGGCTAGTCACGACATGACATCTGGCTTCCTCCAGAGTTGCGGGGGGGGGGGGGGGGGGCGATAGAGAGAGAGAAGAATGCATACCTAAGAGAGAGAGAATGAGAGAGAGAATATGCATACCTAAAAGAGAGAGAGAGAGAATGCATATGAGAGAGAGAATAAGAGAGAGAATGCATACCTGAGAGAGAGAGAGAGACAGATGCATACCAGAGAGAGAGAGAGAATGTATACCACAGAGAGAGAAAGAGAGGGGCCGGGCGCGATGGCTCACGCCTATAATCCCAGCACTTTGAGAGGCCGAGGTGGGCGGATCACGAGGTCAGGAGATCGAGACCATCTTGGCTAACACAGTGAAACCCCATCTCTACTAAAAATACAAACAATTAGCCAGTTGTGGTGGCGGGCGCCTGTAGTCCCAGCTACTCGGGAAGCTGAGCCAGGAGAATGGCGTGAACCTGGGAGGCGGAGCTTGCAGTGAGCCGAGATAGCGCCACTGCAGTCCGGCCTGGGCGACAGAGCAAAACTCCGTCTCAAAAAAAAAAAAAAAAAAAAAAAGAAAGAAAGAAAATGCATACCAGAGAGAGAGAATGCATACGAGAGAGAGAGAGACAGACAGAGAGAGAATGCATACGTAAAATGGGAACCATGGTCCTTTATCAATATAATATTGGAAATGACATTCCATCACTTCTACCGTATTTTATTAGAAATGAGTGAATAAACCCAGTTCACGCCCAGGGGGAGATTATATAAAGGCATGAATAGCAAGAGACAGGGATCACTGGGAGCCATTTAGAGGCTGCTTGTCACACATGATCAAAACTTACTGGTGATGAATTAAATTTCCTGAAACATATTAATAATAGTAATACAATTCAATGAAGATAAATTAATCATTGAGAGTGAGGGTTTAATATTGTTCCTTCTACTAATTAAATATTTGAGAGTATGAAAATAGTTTCACTTTTTGGGGCCTCAGCTAAATACAGGTTTACTTGGGAGCTATTGGTCGTTTGGTTTCAGACCACTACAATAAAGTGAGTATCGAAATAAAGCAAGTCACATGAGTTTTTTTGGTTTACCAGTGCATATAAAAGTTATGTTTACACTATACTGCAGTCTATTAAGTATGCAATCGCATTATTTCTAAATATAACAGTATACATTATATACCTTAATCAAAAATACTTTATTGCTAAAAAATGCTAACAGTCACCTAAGCCTTCAGCAAGTGGTAATCTTTTTGCCGGTGGAAGGTCTCGCCTTCATGTTGATGGCTGCTGACCGATCGCAGTGGTGCTGCTCAAGGTTGGGGTGGCTGCGGCAATGTCTTAAAATAAGACAACAATGAGGTTTGTCACATCAGTTGACTCTTCCTTTCGTGGAAGATTTCTCTGTACCATGAGATGCTGTTTGATAGCATTTTACCCACAGTAGCACTTCTTTAAAAACTGGAATCGATCCTTTCAAATGCTGCCTCTGCTTTAACAACTAAGCTTAAATAATGTTCTAAATCCTTGCTGTCATCCCAACAATGTAACCGTCTTCACCAGGAATAGATTCCATCTCAAGAAACCACTTTCTTTGCTCATCCATAAGAAGCAACTTCTCGCCTGTTCAAGTTTGATCATGAGATTGCAGCAATTCAGTCACATCTTCAGGCTCCACTTCTAATTTTAGTTCTCTCGCTGTTCCCATCATATCTGCAGTAACTTCCTCCGCTGAAGTCTTGAACCCCTCAAAGTCGTCTAGGAGGGTTGGAAACAATTTCTTCCAAACACCTGTTAATGTTCATATTTTGACTTCCTCCCATGAATCATGAATATTTTTAATGGCATCTACAATGGTGAATCCTTTCCAGATTGTTTCAATTTACTTTGCCAACATCTATCAGAGGAATCACTATGCGTGGAAGCTATAGCTTTAAGAAATGTATTTCTTACATTGGAAGACTTGAAAGTCAAAATTATTCTTTGGTCCATGGGCTGCAGATGAATGTTGTATTAGCAGGCATGAGAATAATACTAATGTCCTTGTATATCTCCATCAGGTTCATTGTCAATGAGCAGTAATGTTTGGAAAGGATTGTATTTTTCTGAGTAGAAGGTTTCAACATTGGGCTTAAAATATTCAGTAAACTATGCTGTAAATAGATATGCTATTATCCAGGCTTTGTTCGTCCATTTATAGAGCACAAACAGAGTAGATTTAGCATAATTATTAAAGGCTCTGGGATTTTAGCATGATCTGAGCATTAGCTTCACTTTAAAGTCACCAACTGGCCAGGCGTGGTGGCTCACGCCTGTAATCCCAGCATTTTGGGAGGCCGAGGTGGGTGGATCACCTGAGGTCAGGAGTTCGAGACCAGCCTGGCCAACATGGCAAAACCCCATCTCTACTAAAAATACAAAAATTAGCCAGGAGTGGTGGCATGCACCTGTAGTCCCAGCTACTAGGGAGGCTGAGGCAGGAGAATCACTTGAACCTGGGAGGCGGAGGTTGCAGTGAGCTGAGATCTTACCACTGCACTCAAGCCTGACTGACAGAACGAGATTCTGTCTCAAAAATAAATACAGTCACCAACTGTGTCAGCCCCTAACAAGAGAGCCAGCCTGTACTTTGAAGCTTTAAATCAGGCGTTGACTTCTCCTCTCTAGCTACAGAAGGCCTAGACGGTGTTGTCTTCAATATAAGGCTTTTTCATCTACATTGAACATCGGTTGTTTAGTATCATCACCTTCATCAGTGCTCTTAGCTAGATTTTCTGGATAAAATGCTAGTTTCTAACATCAGCACCTGTTGCTTCACCTTGCACTTTTATGTTAAGGAGAAGGCTCTTTTTCTTATGTCCCATGAACTAACTTCTGCTACTTTCCAACTCTCCTTCCCTCTCTCAGCCTACATAGAATTAAGAGAGTTAGGACCTTGCTCTGGATTAGGCTTCAGCTTAGCGGAATGTTGAGGCTGGTTTGATCTTCCGTCCTGACCACTTAAACTTTCTCATCAGCAATAAAGGTGTTTCACTATATTATTCATATTTTCACTGGAGTAGTACTTTTAATTTATTTCAAAAATTTTTTATTTGCATTCACAACTTGGCTAACTGGTGCAAGAAGCCTAGCTTTCAAATTATCTAGCTTTTGACATGCCTTCCTCACTAAGCTTAATCATTCCAAACTCTTGATTCAAAGTGAGGCACATGCAACTGTTTCTTGTACTTAAACACTTAGGAGTCATTGTAGAGTTATTAATTAGTTAATTTCATTTTTTTTTTTTTTGAGACGGAGTCTTGCTCTGTCACCCAGGGCTGGAGGGCAGTGCCATGATCTCGGCTTACTGCAACCTCCACCTCCCGGGTTCAAGTGATTCTCCTGCCTCAGCCTCCTGAGTAGCTGGGACTACAGGTGCGTGCCACCACACCCAGCTAATTTTTTTATTTTTAGTAGAGATGGGGTTTCACCATGTTGGCCAGGATGGTCTCAATCTCTTGACCTTGTGATCTGCCTGCCTCGGCCTCCCAAAGTGCTGGGATTACAGGCATAAAACACTGTGCCCGGCCAATTTCAATATTATTGTGTCTCAGGAAATAGACAGGTTGGAGTAGAGGGAGATGGAGGAATGGCCAGTCAGGGGGGCAGTCACAACACACACATTTGTTGATGAAGTTTGCTGTCTTATATGGAAGCAGTTCATGGTGCCTCATAACAATTACAACAGCAACATCAAAGATCACTGATCACAAACCACCATAACAGACATAATAATAATGAAAACACTTGAAATCGTGCAAGAATTACCAAAATATAACACAGAGACGCAGAGTGAGCACGTGTTGTTGGAAAAGCAGCCCTGATAGACTTGCTGGATGCAAGATTGCCACAAACCTTCAATTTGTAAACAACGGGGTATCTGCGAAGTTCAGGAAAGCAAGGTACGCCTGTGCTCATTTTTTGTTAATGTAATAAGATGGCAATGATCACATATAACCTGCTCTATGATAGTATGTTGTTTAGGTCATAAGTTTTTTATTGTGCATTTTTTCAGTTTTAATATTTAAATAATCCATTGTATTTTCTGTTTACATATACAAATTATTTTGTAGTTTATGAATGTCCTGGTGGCTTAGGTATGAAGAGTGCCCATGCAAAGTAATAAGACTTGATTGTCCTGACAGCTCTGGCAAGTACTGACTGCATGCAAGTGACTTAGCATTTTGCCCTTGTGAAAATTTGCTGAGAATGATGGTTTCCAGCTTCATCCATGTCCCTACAAAGGACATGAACTCATCATTTTTTATGGCTGCATAGTATTCCATAGTGTATATGTGTTTTTTCGTCTGTAAAATGTAGATGATAGTCTTTTTTTTATTATTATACTTTAAGTTTTAGGGTACATGTGCACAACGTGCAGGTTAGTTACATATGTATACATATGCCATGCTGATGTGCTGCACCCAGTAACTTGTCATTTAACATTAGGTATATCTCCAAATGCTATCCCTCCCCCCTCCCCCCACCCCACAACAGACCCCAGTATGTGATGTTCCCCTTCCTGTGTCCATGTGTTCTCACTGTTCAATTCCCACCTATGAGTGAGAACATGCGGTGTTTGGTTTTTTGCCCTTGCGAAAGTTTGCTGAGAATGATGGTTTCCAGCTTCATCCTTGTCCCTACAAAGGACATGAACTCATCATTTTTTATGGCTGCATAGTATTCCATGGTGTATATGTGCCACATTTTCTTAATCCAGTCTATCATTGTTGGACATTTGGGTTGGTTCCAAGTCTTTGCTATTGTGAATAGTGCCGCAATAAACATGTGTGCATATGTCTTTATAGCAGCATGATTTATAATCCTTTGGGTATATACCCAGTAATGGGATTGCTGGGTCAAATACTATTTCTAGTTCTAGATCCCTGAGGAATCGCCACACTGACTTCCACAATGGTTGAACTAGTTTACAGTCCCACCAACAGTGTGAAAGTGTTCCTATTTCTCCACATCCTCTCCAGCACCTGTTGTTTCTTGACTTTTTAATGATTGCCATTCTAACTGGTGTGAGATGGTATCTCATTGTGGCTTTGATTTGCAGTTCTCTGATGGCCAGTGATGATGAGCATTTTTTCATGTGTCTTTTGGCTGCATAAATGTCTTCTTTTGAGAAGTGTCTGTTCATATCCTTCAACCACTTTTCGATGGGGTTGTTTGTTTTTTTCTTCTAAATTTGTTTGAGTTCATTGTAGATTCTGGATATTAGCCCTTTGTCATATGAGTAGATTGCAAAAATTTTCTCCCATTTTGTAGGTTGCCTATTCACTCTGATGGTAATTTCTTTTGCTGTGCAGAAGCTCTTTAGTTTAATTAGATCCCGTTTGTCAATTTTGGCTTTTGTTGCCATTGCTTTTGGTGTTTTAGACATGAAGTCCTTGCCCATGCCTATGTCCTGAATGGTATTGCCTAGGTTTTCTTCTAGGGTTTTTATAGTTTTAGGTCTAACATTTAAGTCTTTAATCCATCTTGAATTAATTTTTGTATAAGGCATAAGGAAGGGATCCAGTTTCAGCTTTCTATATATGGCTAGCCAGTTTTCCCGGCAGCATTTATTAAATAGAGAATCCTTTCCGCATTGCTTGTTTTTGTCAGGTTTGTCGAAGATCAGATGGTTGTAGATATGCGGCATTATTTCTGAGGGCTCTGTTCTGTTCCATTGGTCTATATCTCTGTTTTGGTACCAGTACCATGCTGTTTTGGTTACTGTAGCCTTGTAGTATAGTTTGAAGTCAGGTAGTGTGATGCCTCCAGCTTTGTTCTTTTGGCTTAGGATTGACTTGGCAATGCGGGCTCTTTTTTGGTTCCAAATGAACTTTAAAGTAGTTTTTTCCAATTCTGTGAAGAAAGTCATTGGTAGCATGATGGGGACGGCATTGAATCTATAAATGACCTTGGGCAGTTTGGCCATTTTCACGATATTGATTCTTCCTACCCATGAGCATGGAATGTTCTTCCATTTGTTTGTATCCTCTTTTATTTCATTGAGCAGTAGTTTGTAGTTCTCCTTGAAGAGGTCTTTCACGTCCCTTGTAAGTTGGATTCCTGGGTATTTTATTCTCTTTGAAGCAATTGTGAATGGGAGTTCACTCATGATTTGGCTCTCTGTCTGTTATTGGTGTATAAGAATGCTTGTGATTTTTGCACATTGATTTTGTATCCTGAGACTGCTGAAGTTGCTTATCAGCTTAAGGAGATTTTGGGCTGAGATGATGGGGTTTTCTAGATATACAATGATGTCATCTGCAAACAGGGACAATTTGACTTCCTTGGATAGTCTTAACCTCATAATATTCTTGTGAGAATTGAAGAGAATTGAAGGTCCTACTACATGTAAACATTTTGAAAAGTACTTATAGATTAAGTTCTCAAGTAGTATTTTTCTGTATTTTGTGGAAATTATGAAGTAGTAGTGTGGTAATAGTATTAGTAACAACACTTTGGGAAACATTTTGAAATAATAGAAGCTGTCAGTGTTCAGCTGATAAATGGACCATTGGCTTTTAAGAAGAAATGAGGTAAAGGCTCTCATGTACCTGACATGTTATTAATGAGTTCCTTGAAATAATTTTGACCTTTTCTCCCAGAAAATAAGTTTATATGGTTCAAAAGAAACTACTACTTAAAATATTAATTTTATGACAACTAAGTGTCAAGCAAAACAAAAGCCAGTGTGGGTGATCAAATTCAGTTGTGAGGTTTCATGTAGAAGAAAGCAAACCTCAAACTGAAATGCTCTGCACAAGAGGCCCATCCTGTAGAAACCCTGTGATAGGGAGATCAGAAAATTCCTCTCTACGGAGCTGAGTCTGTAACATCTACCGTAGCACAGTGATACCTTAGAGGAAAGGAAGTTTTATTTTTAGCTTTGGCGACATTTAATGAGAAGTTGGTGTTATTTTATATCAGATCAAACAGCATTTAATTGATTAATTTTACTCTGCAACGTGAGCAGTGTCTACAGTGGCTGGAGGGTTGGTAAGCAACACCTTCACACTTTCACTTGGATATTGCTCATTAAAAACTCTGTTTATGGCATTTCAGATGACAAAAGAACACAATCATGTAAAAAATTAACTTTTAAAACCCACGGTTTAAATATTGTATTACTAAAATAGTCATCATCATTTTCCAAATTCTACCTTGTGTCATTTTTTTTTGTAATTTATTTCATATGTATTCATGAAATCTCTGAGAGTATCCTTGGGTTGTCTCAATGGGCTATTCATCTAAGTGTCTATCGTGAGTAAAACTGTAATAATCTACAATTAAAGGAACTTCTTCAGTGTCACGGCTTTACCATGGTGTAACATAAAATTGTAAGCCTGGAAATACAGTGTTCACTAGCATACCTTAATGATCCAACCTCTCCACAGTACACTCCATCAACAATTTATTCCCTATCCACATTTTATCTAGGCCAGGTGTGAAACTATTTTTGGAGTAAATCTAACACTTTCTACCTGCTTTTTCTTTTCTTCTCAAATCTAATTAAATATACAAAGAATATTAACTTTGGTTGATGAAGTGACTCTGTGCATTATTGTCTAATCAACCAACACAATGTAACCAATGTACTGAGAATCCAAATTAATGCTGTCATTAAAGCCAAGGTTGAAGGCAAGGGAATTTGTCCCCTTTCACTGAGAGATAATTGAAAGAGAGCCTGAAAAAGTTACTTTGCAGATAGATGGGTGCAGTATTAACCTGAATCAGAATGGGATCCAGTTCAGCCTTACTCCATCGACTACCTCTGTTAATTTCTAGGGCTTTATTGCAGCTGAATTGCTTGTATCTGTGGGTGTGTTTTATAGATTTTATGGTTAAATAAGCACATAGTCATTACTGAGATATACCGAGTTGTAAATTGGTTCATTTCATAGTTAGGAATAACTTTAGAACTGATTGTTAACAAAAATATTACTTCTCATCAGTCGCCTTGAGAGTTTAATGGATATAAATGTCCCCTAGATGAAAGAGGGCCTGTGAGTGTTTTCTGTCTGTATCAGTATCCTCACCTCCACACACCACCATAAGCATAATGTATCTTGCACACAGCTCTCCATAGTTCAGTGTGATTATTTCTCAGTTGAGCTTTTTAACAGTTTTGTTGATTTCCAAAAAAAAAAAAAATCCACTTTCTATCTGGCGACAGATCAAGACTACTAAGAAAAATTTACAATTCAGCCTTAGTATGAAGAGTTTACAATTTCATTACATCTAAAATCGTCTTCTAAAGTTAGTCTAGATTGACTAAGGAAATGAGCTACATTTATCAAATACTCCCGTCATGTCTAGACTCTTGAATTCTTTGTGGTATTATAAGTGACACATCCAAGTGTGATCATTTCTGTCTAGGGGCTGTGTCTCTCTTGTGGGACTAGGGCCAGTCCTCTCCAATGACCGTTGTCCAAGTGCTGACAATACAGTAAAATACCACAAAGATAATGTCTCAAAAACTGTGCCACAAAGTATGGGTTTGGAAATGTTACCTAGAATGTTTCAACTGTATCCTTTGGTTATATTATGCCATTTAAAAATATTTAGAAGAATTACATATCAGAATATAAAATATATAATACAATGATTTTTTCCTAACACATGAATAGTCTATCATATTATAAAATTATACATTCATATTAATTATTTTATATATATATTTCAATTGACTAAATTATCATTAGTATATGACCAGTGACAAAACATTTCATCAATTACCTGAACCATAATGATAATCATAATGATAATAATAATAGTAAATGTCCCTGTTGTTTTGATAGAGTTTACTGGAGCCTGTGTGGGAATTAAATTCTTTATCATGATGATCAGGGAGTTTATTTAGACTACATCGTTTTCTTTCAATTTGGGAACATTAATTTTTTTCAAAATGTATAGGACATTTCTCATGTCACTGAGAAAATCACGATGTATCAGTATTTATTTCATTTGCAAGCTCCCTGTAATTACAGTGAAAACATGCCAGATATATAAATAAGCTATAGTAAATTAAAAAGAAATGCTTTTTTTTGCACCGTTGATTTTATGAAAGCACACTAATTCCATCATATTTTAACCTTTATGAACAGCTCTTTAAGCAGGTGAAGGGAAGTGATTATCAGGCTGTAGAAAATGAAGCTGAGGCCTAGGAAGGTCAATGCCTCAGATAACATGCTGAACACCCCTAGAGTCTAGACACAAGCCCAGCGTGTGTCCAGTGCCACCATTAGCACTCTAAAGCAGGAGACGCTATGGTAGTTTCCGGATATCCATCAAATATAAATGCAGGTTCACAAAATGAACTCATAATTTCATCAGTATCCAGGAAACTGAAGAAAGCACTCACAGCTAGAATACATAAAATATACTAATTTTTTCTCATTCAGACCTTCCTCAAATAAAATTAACATTATATCATGTGCAGAATAGTATTATCTATCCATCCATCCATCCATCTACAGAAGCTTACATTTTTATCTCAATAGTGATTTGCAAGCTATTCTGAGTTCTGAATTAGGGCACGTAGGTCAGAAACTTTTAAAAGTAAAGTCATATAGACAGCTGTTGAACATTTGGATAAAGTTCCAATCACACTCATACACTAAAATGAATGTCCTCTATGCATTACCACTTAACACAAAGCAAGGCAAATTTATAAGAATTTCATTTACATGATGGGCTATATCTAGATCTAGAAAATGTCCCTTTGGGTAAATCGAATTAGTTATACAGTGTTGATTACTACAAATGCAAAACATAGATTAAATGACATGGATTTATTTAATGTGTTGTTTTTTACCATACTAACCATAAAGTACATATTTATAGCATTTTCCAATGACTCACTCAATCTTTGAATCTCAACCTATTTTTTCTATTTTAACATAATGTTTTATACTTGTTTTGAATTTCCTTCTCCTTTAGGTTTCATGCTTAAATTATTCTCTTAGGAAAACTGGATATTTTGAATACTATATTAACTTTTTCCTGCTTACTGTGGGGTCAGGTCAGAAGCCAGACATTTTTCTCCCTTTCTGTTGACACAATGGGCCTACACAAAACCAGCTCACAGTGTTTGATTTTATGATCAGAACCAGAAAAGAAAAATGGGAGGCTAAGTAAAAAGGAACATCAATGGAAAGAAAGAAAGAAAGAGAGAAGAAAAGAGAGAAAAAAGGTAGAATGAAATTGAGTAAATAACAGCATATAATGGTGAGCGATAGGGTGCTGTTAAAAAACCTCCCTGATCTTCCTTCTTACCCCTTTCTGAATATGTCACGTGTTCTTTTTGACACTAAATGGATCTTTATGGCTTCAGTGTGATCATAGCCCAAATCTGGGATCACAAGTGTGTAGAATTTTCAGGAAGAAAGGAGGAAAGAAAGAGACAGGGGAGGGAGGGAGGAAAGAAGCATGTAAGCAGTGCTTGTTCCACACATTTTTGGGGGCCTATGGTCAGTTGAGGTCACCTGTGTCAATGGCGGCAAAAGTAACAGGGGAAAGCTAGGAGAAGCTTGCCTTTGTGAGGTGGGGCCCCTCACACATCCTCAACAGGGCAGGTTTTGAGGACCTGTATTCACAGGACTTTGCAGTAGACTGTCTCCATCTCTGGGTAAAGGCCATTCCTCTGGTCCAACTGCTTTTAAAAGTTGGAAAAAATTGTCCCTGTTTGGGATCTCAATGGGATCACTGGCACCCTCTCTACCTAGAGGGGACAGGTGCAGTACTGCATCCCAGATCCTAATGAAGGTCATGCATGCCTTTATCTTTATCTGAAATTAGGCTCATCTGTGGTCTTTTCAATAGAATATTTCAGGGACTTGTAAACAGAGAACAAGAGAGCTTGAAGGACTTAACTTGCGGTTGTACAAGTTGTCCTGAGTTTGTTGAGTTGAGGGGGGCCACTCTTCTCTTCCCCAGCTATAAGGCCCCACCTTGAGTATATATTTATAGGACACATGACTGTTAGGGCCACTGTCCCGGCCACAAGGCATTCCCCTCTTCCCTGAAATTAACATTCAAATATATTTATTTCTAATGGTTCCTTTTCTCACACCATCAAAGATATTCGTGACTTTTTAATTAATTTTTCCAGTTTATTTTGTATTTTTACATATTACTGTGTTATTGTTAGATGAAATATAAATGGATTTTTAACTCTGAAAAAGTGCTTTTTATTGAATATATTTTTAAATCCTACTAATTGCATTATTTTGATTAACTGGAAGAAAAGGACAATTGTAGTGTAGACAATCAAACAGAAATTCAAAATATTTCTAAAGCAAAATGGGTAGTCACTTAAATGAAATAGCCATATTATAAATGCAAATGATTCATTTTGCACTTATCACTAAAAACAACACTTGAACCTCACAATATGCATGAAGATTGTGTTTCCTGTGATTGAATTCAATGGCAAGAATAAAGTTGGAGAAAAAATATACAGGGGAAAGAATTTCTAGAAATAAAATTCGGGCTTTCGGAAACAATGCACATTGTAACCAATAGCATCTCAGCAAGTGTGCCATCTTTACTGACAAAATACAAAGTAATTTTAAATATTTAAGCAAATAGGCAAAAACGATTGATGAAAGCACATTTGCTAAATTGAAATAATGGCCATTACCAGTGATTGTGAAACAATGAATCTTTGCCTAAAGCAGTGAGTGCAATAAGGCTTTTCATAACTTTTTGTATGCATAGTAAAGACTAAATTTGTTGCAGCATCCACAGAGATTTAAATTAATTTCAGAAAGAAAATTATTACATTAATTTGTTTTCATCAAATATAATTTAGAATTAGTTATTCAATAAGGGTTTTCCCAGTAGCCTTTAATAAAATGATAGAGATGGGCTTAGGGGGAGAGAATCTTAATTGTTCAGCATTCCATTTCTGTTTGAATCATTTTGGAACTTAGTTATTAGTATGAAGCAGCTTCAGTAAACTGGTGTTTGTAAACTAGTGTCTCTGACTCCCAGCCCTGCTCTCGTATTATTATTATTGTTATTACCTTTAAAGAAACACACACATGCAGATTTGTTTTAGCCTGCATTGTTTGAAGAACATTCTCCTTGTTCTTCAAAGCATAGCATAACCAGAAGAATGGATTTCAAATGCCATCTCAGTCTGTTAAAATTTATAACTCATTGAGGCACATCCTATGGGTTCCCAAGCATCCCTACAAATACACAGTGGGCACCTGGCGAATGTCCATTAAGTCTTTAGATTGCCTGACTGCTGTTCAATAAGATATAGCTTCCATAGACTAGATAAATGTAGCCTTGAGCTTGATGGAGTTCACCCCAACAATGCGGGTCTGCATAAACCTGTTCAAAGGAAACCGGCACTAGATAGAGAGTCTAATTATAGCAAGGTTGTATTTTAGGTTCTTCCAGTGAAGAAGACTTACATTAGACTCTCTTCTCTTTTATTAGACTCTCCTTTAGGTTCTTCACTGGAAGATTGCACCAAGCATATACCCTTGTTCCTTCTGATTTGTTGATGTAAATAAAAATTTTTTAAAATAATACATGTAAAATCATTTGCAGAACATTAAGTCATTATAGAATGATAGCATAGTTTGCAACAGATTTGCATCTGAATTCCAGTTTCTTATCTAAATTAGCTGGAAAGTTGGAGTCTCATTTGGTCAACAATTAATACATGATGACTGTTAGCAGAGAATTGGAGAATTGTGATCCACACTCTGTGCACAGGCTGAAGGCTGCTACTGCATCTGTCTCGCATATTTTTCTTTAGTAGCTGTTGCCCTCATCCCTTCAAAACACTTACCTGCTTGCTACCACTTCTCCTTCCTCTCTGCAACAGCAGGCTATGCCATATCTTTCAGCAAGATTAACAGAAGACTAGAGCTTGAGCACTTGCTGTGCCATTAAAGTAAAGTGTGCTGACCCTTGGCAAAAAAAAAAAAAAAAAAAAAAAAACAGACAATAAATATTGGGTTTAACTGTCTCAAGGAATAAGTGATTGAATAAATAAATGAATAGTGTAAGTAGCAGTCTACATTTATTAGGTGTCTGCCGTATATATGGTATCATGTTTGATACCATCCTCTCTTAAAAAAGTAATGTTTCTGGTCTCAAGTGATGTGACTGGCAGAACAAAGGCATACAAATGAAGAGCTAGCAATAGTCAGCACATATTCATGGATAATTGAGAGAAACAGTTAAGGGTAGTGGCAATGTGTGTAAGGACTAGTAGAATAAAGAGGAAGGAGAGAGCACCCCAAGCTTAAATAACTAGTGAGGCTTCCTTAAATAGAGCTTGAGGAAAAGACACAGACCTGGTGAAATAGATGGGAAATAGAGAGAACTTGAGGAAAAGACACAGACCTGGTGAAATAGATGGGAAATAGAGAGAACTTGAGGAAAAGACACAGACCTGGTGAAATAGATGGGAAACAGAGAGAACTTGAGGAAAAGACACAGACCTGGTGAAATAGATGGGAACAAACCACCCATGCCAGGAAACATGGTGGGATTAGCAAAGGTGCAGGAGCTTGAAGAAGGCATAGGGTGTGGTCTCAGTTTACCAGAGCAGGGCTTTAGTGTGGGAGCCAGTGAATTAAAATACTAAGAAGGGGTTGGGTTGCCGATGTCTAGAGTTCCCAGATTTGCACATTTGTATTTGCTTCTACATTTGTGAAAGTCTTTGAAAATGAAGGAGCTGTGCAAAATAGCGCTTTATACACATGAAGCTAGGTGCGTGCCTGGACGATGACTTCAAGTCTGCGGCACTGAAACAGATGTAGGAAAGGATAGTTCCATGAACCATGTGTAACATGCTCAGGGTATGGATTCTGGATGGCATCAAAGAAAGCAAAGGCAAATAAGCCTTTTTCATGAGACAGGAAATAAATGTCAGCAAGCTTTAGAAACGGATTGTAGAGTTTTCAAAAATTATTTGTGAATCGTATTGCCCAAAATATTGAACTGTTAGCTAGCAGATACTGTATCTAGTCAAAAATTTGGGAATTGTGGTAAAACATATGATGTGAGCAGATTTTATGGGGGTTATTTATTTGCTTGTTTTTTGTTTGTTTGTTTGTTTTGTTTTAGGGATTTGTTTTGTTTTTATTAGTGGATTTCTCAGGACTCATGGTTTTGGCCTTATGAATCTACAAAAGAGGACTTACATGACATCCTTTCTCTTAACGCCACTGGACGCTAACACATTTGATTACAAAAAAAAAAACTTTAAAGAATTAGTGTTTCTTGGTAAACATAATAGTGGGATGCCTCCCGCTTGTTTCGGAAGAGCAGGTGTAGCCTTGGTATTGGGAGACACCAACAAAGCTTAAATAATCAATCTTTATATTTACCTTGAAAATCTTCATATATGGTTTGAGACATTATCTTTACATTTTAGGGTGATATTTAATTTATTACCATTATGCCCAGTTAAAAAATTCAACCAATTCCACAAAACTGTTTAAATAGCAACTATTTTAAAATACTAGAATTTCACTAGAACCTGGTTTCATATTGGTTAAAATCCAATACTCACCTGGCAAACAAATACTATATTTAGGGTAAGGTTAGTCTTTGAGTTAGTAGTTAGTCTGTGCTTTTTTCATTTTTTTTTTTTTTTAAATATCGTGCTATATGCAGATACCAAGATTTCTCTTGAAAAGGAGGCATTCCATATTGCAGAGAAAAACATTTAATTGTCCAGTTAAGCATGTCAGCTTAATCACAGGAATTTGTCATGGTTTAAAAAATTAAGCTATTTGAAAATTACTGAAACAGAATAATTTGGCATATCAGTGTACAGCCCCTATTCTTAAAAAGTCTTGTTGCTTCTCATTACTTAACCTGAAATTTTAAAATCAATTTGGTGCTACTGAAAATAAATATGGAATCCCTTTCATTATTTATATTGGAACTCTCTTTCATCAGCAGTTATACATATTTATACTAAATACTAAGAGATTACCTTGCAGCTACAAAGTTTTAAAGTGTTCTTTGACTTAAAAAATATTATGTCAATGTAGTTTATGATAAAAATATTTATTCTAATTTTAATGTTTAGTACATTTATTTTAGAGGTGGCACTATCCATTTACAGGATCCTTATCCATGTTTATCCATATCAATTCAGTTTTATGAATATTCATTAATTGTTCACAAAAAGTATTAAGTACGGCATGTAGCATTAGGCAGTATTAATAATGCATGCAGTATTAGAGTATCTATTAATATTTTTGAGACTAACTTAGCTATTTCAAATGATTTTAGATACAGGCAGTGTTCCAACTGACATAAAATTGGAATTCTCCCAATAAAAGAGAGACTGCAAATCTACTTAGCTAATTAAAGAAGCTTATGTTAGGCAGCAGGTTCAATTCAAAAGACTGAGGATCACACCAATATTTTAAAAATCATAATGTATAATTTAGAGGTCTACGTTTTGTTTCCACACAAAATTTTCAGTATATAAATTGCTTTAGTTAGAATATTGCCACTTTAGACTTTGAGGTTATTTGCCATGCAAGGAAAAATTAGTAAAACTTTCAAAGTTACGTATAATTGGACACTTTACATTCTGTTTCTTATATGTTTGAATTAAGTCTTTTCTTTGTTAGCTAATCATCAAAGATCACCATGTCTCTATCTATAATGTGATTACCATGAATTAGTTCAGAACCTTCACCCAAATAGTGACTGGGGCTAAGGTAAGAAGGGCAGTAAATGAGATGAGGGTGGAGCTTCAGTGTCTTCATTTAGGAGACTTCAAGAAAGGACAGAGAATAATTTCACCTTCCTAGGTACTTTGTAACAAGGTACAGATTTTCATGTCTGTCACATGTATATATTAATTTCTACCAAAGGATATGACACATATGCAAATTATCCTATTCACATATGTTTATATCTCACATTCGTATTTGCTGAAATAATTATGCTTACTTTTAGAATTTCAACCAGAACTATTTACTTCATAAACTGAGATAATTGAAAATTGTGACAAAAATAACCTCAAATCTTTTTATTACGTAAGCTAATTAAACCAGATATAAACTTAATTTGTTAAAAAAAAAAGCAAAGAAAAATATGCTTGCCTTTTCAATCAAGTTATTCTCTCGCTTGCTAATCTGGAAATGTGAGCATCCACAAAGGGCATTTTCCTCATTATCACAGATCCACCAGGTATACCACACAGGGCTGGGGCACTTGGCTGGCACAGGATGGCCAAGCCTCTGAAGAGTCTTTTCCTGTTTTTCTGGTAGTGATGTATGAAGGTTAATGGGTTTTGGTCAGAAGTACTTAAAGCAATTTAAAAAAATTACATTTCAAATATCCCACCTGACCTATTAGTTGTCCTATTAGACCTGAAGTAATGAGAATAAAAACTGGAAGTCATAACCCAGCTCCCAGCAGTTGCCAGGTGTGATGCTGTTCTAGAAAGAAATCTTTAAAAGCCTCCAGCATGAGACAATAATACCACCTGCCTAGAAACTCTTAATGATGTAGAAACTGCAGCAGAAAAACAAAAGCAAAATTACAAAGGCATTTATTCTTGGTTCCATTTTTAAAAAGATAGTCTGTGGCTGATTTGGTGTGAGAACCCTTGTTAAATCTTCAATATCAACCCTACTTTAAGTCTGCGTTACAACCACATTAATGGGATGATAGGGAATCTATTCAGTTTCATGAAGTAGACATTTTGTAATTGCATGCTGTAATTATATTGAACTGTATCTTTTAAAAGCTTGAGCCTTCTTATTAAAAACCATTTTTCTCATTGCCTTCTTTGCAAGCTTTATTTGCAAAGTTAAGTTATCATTACCTGACTTAAAAAGCAACAGCTAGCAAGATGTAGCTTTTAAGTAACTAAGAGTCAATCGATCAGTTAAAACTAATAAATAGCCCTAGATTCATGGCCCTGGTCCAGAAGTGAGATAATCAATGAAAAGTGGGAAATGTATTAGGATAATGTATTTGTTGTCAAATCATATGTCTACATGTGCATATACCAATAGAAAATCATGGTATCAAGTAAGTTCTTCAATGTAGACAAATCTACATCAAAATTTGTAGAAGTAAGCTGTTTATAAGGCTGATGGCCATTTTACAATATTTTTCTATGTAACAATTTCTACATGGTATGAAATATGCAAGGTTCAGAAGTGATTTGATTACTTTTCAATTCTGAATAAAATACATGAGTAGTGTTCTCATACTCTCTTTTGGAAAATTCAGTATTTTGATAAAAAAAACCAGAGAAAATATGACAGTGTACTATTGTGTCATGGCAACAGAAATGTAACACAGAGTCACTGGAACATGCCCTCTCAACAAACACAATGAGGTCGATCCCCTCTGCAGTTGTAATTATCCATGCTCTGTCACCAAGAGAGAGAAACTGTCACTCTGTGGGACATAACTGTATACACATACGCTCACACAAACATGTACTGATCTAATTTTTAATATACTGTACAGTGTATGCTCTAATTTGCTTTTTTTCACTTTCCAATATATTGTGTATACTGTTTCATCTAATTTGATCTTCCTTACTTATGAGATTCTTTTCCATTACATATTTTACACGACCATATTTTATTCAGTGGTTCTTGTGGATATTTTGCTATTTTAAAATGTTCTCTAGTGGAAATCTGAGTACACGTATCTTTATATATTTAGAATAATAATTAAGTAGATTTCTACAAGTGGAGTTACCTGGTCAAATAATATGCACGTTTTCAAGGTGATGTGGGTGAGTAGTGTCAGATTGTTCTCCAAGTAGTGTGACTCTTCTCATTGAAGTTCACACTTACGGTGGATGTGAGTGCTACTTTCCCAATATCTTTGACAACACTAGATATTAAAAGATATTTTATAACAGATCTGGGCTATAGGACACTTGGCCTACTGTTGTTATTATCTGAATCATAGACTTTGAAATTTTCTTGTTTCCGTTTATGTACATAGAATTGTTGCTCAATGCATTTTAATTAAAAAATAATTCTCGAACATAATTGTATTTCTGAGAATATATTATTAATGACATATTCAGGTATAAGGTGGAAGTTTTCCAAACATAGAAGAAATTTTTATGTATTAAAGAAATACAATGGACAAGGAGAAAATTTAAATATTGAGGAACAGTATAGCTTTTAAAATCCAAACACAGAATGATACAAAAACTCTGAAAGAGAGTGTAGGAGTGCTAAGTGGAGTCGGTGAAAGGAAAACACAGAGGAAAGCTTTTTCAGAGAGACATATTCAATATATTCTAAATAGTGTTTCCCTGTAGGAAATCACATTAAAATTTATATGACTTTGGAAAGCAGAAAATGGGATTAACTCTCCCTCCCTCCTTTTCATAGATCTTGGATGCTGGGACCACAGAGATAATTAAATTAGCTCTCCTTGGTTTATTTATTTTTAATGCAAAAAAATGCACATGAAACAAGCATTAATTACCTTGAATTTGTACTATGATCCTTTTTTCTACAAACTTAGAGAACCTCTAGTTACTCATGTTTATTTCCCAGCAATTCACATGGCATAATTATCAGTGGAATATATGTTAGAAAGGTGTTGCCCCCTGTAAGGTGCTCACACAGAACCAAACCCTGGCCTCCTGAGAGCCAGTTGTCTCTTCACTGGACTCTATTGAACTCCACTCTGCAAAATATTCTACCAGAAAAGCAGTGGAAGAGTGTTGGTGTGGAAAAATCGATGAAGAATGGACATTGGTGTCAAACAGACTTGTTTTACGTTGGCTATTTAAAAATGTTCAGAAGGAAATTCTTAACTGCCCGTGTGTGATATGTGTGTTCTAATCACCACATGACCCTGAGCAAGCCTCCGTTTCTTACATATAAAATGGGGAGAAAAATAGGCACAGTTCAAAGGTTTACATAATGAAGAGGGTTGATGAATCTGCTTAACACAGCATCTTGCACATGGCAGGTTCTCATGTATTAATACATGTCTTAGTCCATGTAAGCTGCTATCACAAAATTGCCATTGACTGGGTGGCTTATAAATGGCAAACATATATTTCTTACAGTTCTTGAGTCTGCACAGTCCAAGATCAAGGTGACAGCAGACTTGGTGTCTAGCGAAGGCCCATCTCCTGGTTCTCAGAGGGCCCTCTTCTTGCTGTGTTTTCACATGTCAGAAGGGACAAGAGAGCTCTCTGGGATCTCCTTTATAAAGGCACTAATCCCATTCATGAAGGCTGTTCCCTTGCCAAAGGCCCCGCCTCCAGATACTTTCACATTGGGGATTAGTTTTCAACATATGAATTGCAGGGGACACAAACATTAAACTTAAACACAAATTTTAAATGTTTTTCTCCAACTCTGACCTTTCCATAAGCTTCAGCTTTGTATTTCCACCTCACTGTCTCAAATTCAGGACGTAAATTTTCAACTTTACCAGAAACCAACTTACTTCGGTTTGCGTTTTATCTGTGACTTTTGTTTTTTGCCATTCGACTAAAAGCAATTTAATTTTGCCCCCTTATCATTTTCCTCACATTGAGTTAATACACAAATGCTTTGGGGACTTGTGATCTTTAAATATGCTTTTCTTGTTTTCATATTTATGTAGTTATAACTTCATCTTATTTTTGTAATTCATAGATTTCTATCAAATCTCGTTCACTGATCCATTAATTCTGCAAACATTTATTAAGCATATATTGTGCATCGGATTGGTCCTTCTACATAAGTTGGTGCTATCATTTTGAGTGTAGGTGATAACTCTCAAATTTTAAGGCTCAAAAGAATACCTGTAGTTACCCCCAGTCTCCTTCAAATAAATTGCTACTTCCAAATACACATAGGGAAAAGGGAGCTATTTCATTGCGGGGAATTGTTCTTTTTCTTCTATGAAAGTGTGGTTCCCAGATGTAGTGAGATTGCACTTAGAATTTTGCTCATCACCCTGTACAAGAAAAGGAAAATTTCAGAAAAATAGAAAAGAAACATCAGTGGAATAACTTGATATGTTTTTGATTACACAATAATGAAACCTGGGCAAGGAGAGAGGTAGAATTACAGGCAATATTCTCAGCAAGCGGCTCTGTGGCTCTGTCCTTCTTTAAATGATGGGGAATTTCACGCCATCACAGACAATGCCATTTGGTTTCAAGAGGCAGCTATCATTGGAGATTCCATGTTTTAATCTTTTTGATGAAATAAGTATGTGTAATTCAGTTTTTGATGCTGTATTCCAAAAATTTTAAGATAACTCTTGAGTTGGTTTTTACAAGATTTTTATTTTTACTATAATTCCACAGGTTCTCTTTCTGTTTTGCTACAAGGGCTGGAATATAGAAAAATGTGATTTATGTAGAAATCTCCTTGGCATTGGCAGCATAATCCTCTCTTGAGTTAATGAATCAATCCTACTTTGTTTCTAGTGACTTATTACAGGGTCATTTTACATCTGTCCAGTGGCATAGTCTAAATCAATGGTTCCCAAATGTTGGTGTGAAGAATCTCTTGGAAAGGTTGTTATAAAGATGGATTTGTAGGTCCCTTTCCAAACTCTGTAAACATGACTTCACAGGCATGTACACTGATATTTTTAACTGGTGGTCTTAATGAACTCCAATTTTGAAAATGCTATGAAAGATTCATCAAGATTGTTTTCCCAACAGAACAACCTGCTTTGCTGATTGATACGGTGTTTATAGACTTGTTAAAAGTTGCTAGGTCATTTCTAGGAAAGAAGGATATTTCAGTTATAATTTTTAAAAACTCTTATAATTTAAAAGCATGGCAGTTTATGAGTTAATAAAATGGTTGAACTTGTTTCAGAATCTGTTCTTTATATTTCACTTATTTAAATAGCTTTACATGTTTATGTAAGTAGAATCACCAATCAAGTAAATAAAAATAAACATTTTTTTTTTTTTTTTGGAGTTGGAGTCTCACTCTGTCTCCCAGGTTGGAGTGCAGTTGCGCTATCTCAGCTCACTGCAACCTCCGCCTCCAGGGTTCAAGCGATTCTCCTGCCTCAGCCTCCCAAGTAGCTGGGACTACAGGCTTGTACCACCACATCCAGCTAGTTTTTTGTATTTTTTTGTTTTAGTAGAGACAGGGTTTCACCGTTTAGCCAGGATCATCTTGATCTCCTGACATCATGTTCTACTCGCCTCGGCCTACCAAAGTGCTGGGATTATAGGCATGAGCCACCATGCCCGGCCGTAAATAAACTTTTTAAGTAAATACAGTTAATTAGGATTTCAGACAAATTACCAACCTCAAGCAACTGACCCATTCTTTCAGGAAAAAAGTCTGGGATATAATAAATACTTTTCAGGTAAAATGTCAGGGATATATTAAATATTACTGATTGGCTAGGGAACAAAAATTAGGCAATAAAAGACTTAGGGCACTTGGCATATAAGCATATGAGAAATTTAAAATAAATATTCAAGACTGTGGCTAACATGCTTTTTCCTAGAGGGAGAAGGGAGGTCTCAGGTGCAGAACGTGAAACCAATCCACTGTTTAAGTGATTTTAGCAGAAGACATCAAATGCATTTTATTGGGGGAAGTCTAACATAATTACTCAATCAAGAATATGAAAATGAGGGATTATATGCTGACAGAATAGCCATTCAATACATCCACCAGGAAAGTAAATGGCAAAAAAATATTTTGTGTGAATTATTGAACACTTGATGTCAGGGCCAGTCTCAGTAAAACGGATGAATAAAGGAAATGCATTGAGAGAAAGTTAGAAATGTAATTGGTATTGAAAGAAGGATTTTTTAAACTTAGTATCTGATTGGCTTAAAGCTCTGTTATTAAACAATAGAATTTAAAGAGTCTATTGGGGGCTAACAGCAAAAGTATTTCTGAAACTGATTATTAGTTATTCAAAAATTACTGTGAAGAGGCCTCGCTTTAGATTTAGGCTGATTTGATGGCCACCCCACTGAGAACTACATGTAGAGTAAGCACTAGAAGGTGCAGTAAAGAGAGAAAAGCACTAGAAGGTGGAGTATGGAAGGCAAGGAGCCTTGGAAAGTAGGAAGAGAGAGAGAACGTTGCCTGGAGTGACCTCTTAGGAGAGAATCAGGAAGAAGCCTCACCACAGACACAGCAAGGCAAAAGAGTTTGATTATGGTCTCATAGAGAAAGTTCAGAAAGTTGTCATTAGCATTGTTAACATGGCTTACTGCTGATTCAAGAAAAATGGTAGAGTAAGGATCATAATAAATGTGTAGCCTATTTCTAATTAAAAAGTGTTTATATTGGACTAAAATTGTATGAGGATTAGACGATGCCATATTCTTAGAAAATGGCTTAAGCCATTCTTGAGTCTCACTTTCATTAGAACTTCTAATGTGATGTCCAGTCAATTCCATTTCCAAATTATTTGTTGCCAAATCCGTCATTTGTTTTCTTCTCCATGTCTACTGCTACTACCCCAAGCTAACACACCACCCTCTCTTCCATGAACTATTGTGATTTTCTAATTCAGCTTCTCACTTCAATTCCAGCTTCCCTCCAACCCACTATCCACCCACTATGGAAGGATCTCTTTTAGCTGATCATGTTCCTGATTAAAATCTTTTCTTGGCTTTTGATTGCACTTAGAGTAAGTTAGAACCTGATTGCAAGGCTTTCATAGGTGACCCCCGCTGACCTGCCCTGTCATCCAGCCATACTTCCTTCCTTTTATACCTCACCCTTCCCAAACTCTATTCAAGAGCCCCTCTGCCTCCATACCTTCACACACGCCCTGGTGCATCATTTGCTTGGACCAATCTGTCTTACTTTTTTGTTAATAGTTGGATATTTCTCAGGCATCTTCTAAATATCTAATGTATGATAAATCACCATTGTCCCTTTTCATAGTATTTTGTCTTTTTCCGTTACTGAATATACCAATGTGTAATTAGATACATTTATCTGATGATATAACATACTATATACCCCATGAAGAAAACATTCCTATTCTATTCTATTCTATTCTATTCTATTCTATTCTATTCTATTCTATTCTATTCTATTCTATTCTTCTACACATTCTATCTAGCACTTAGAATGGAGCTTGGCATATAGTAGATACTCAGTAAACATTGATTGGATTAAGAAATGCATAAATTAAAAGTAGAAGAGATTGGGTCAAGAATTAACTAAAGCAATAAGCCATCACCAAGTACACTGACTTATTGCAGGTATCTCTTTTGCAGAGGGAGAAGTGAGTTACTGTTTCACAGATGAAAGTGTTAACCTCAAGTTTGGGGTTTGCCATAGACCTCTGCACTGTGGAAAACACATGTTCATTAACATAGCAGAAAGGCAGTATGAGTTTTAATGTGAAATTCATAATTCTTCAGGTCAACCAATTACATTGATATAATATTTCCAGTGGCTGTAGGCTATACCACTGCGTGGATTTTGTATGGGTCAGATTTTTTTTTTGCTTGTTGATGATGGCCTGTATTTAACATACCTGATTGCAGCAACACTGTATGAATATCTGAATTTTATTCTTGAAAAAATACCACATCAGTAGCAAAATGAAAAGCTCGTCCTCTAAACCGTAAAAACATGTGATTTATGCATTCATTTGATAATTCTCGTGCTTTACCATTTCCTATAGTTATTGTGCGCTTGTCTTATTCTAACTACTGGCTTAGCAAATAAGAAACATTGGGGATTGGGAACTACCTCTTATACATCTTTTTTTTTCTTTTTTTTTACTTTAAAGAGATTTTGTTAAATTTATGGATTAATTTTGGGAGAATCAACATGTTAACATATTCAATTTTTTTATCACATGACAAGGGATGTCTTCTCATTACTAATAGCTTTTTAAACTTTACCTTGTATGTCCTTGTAAGTTTTATTAAATAAGCTATGTACATTTCTTATTAAATGTACTCTATTTAATTTTTTATTTCAAATAAAATATGTTTTTATTATATTGTCTAACTATCACATGGACACAGGGAGGGGAACCTCATACACCGGGGCCTGTGGGGGCCGGTGGGAACAAGGGAAGGGAGAGCATTACGACAAATACCTAATGCATGTGGGGCTTAAAACCTAGATAATGGGTTGATAGGTGCAGCAAACCACCATGGCACATGTATAGCTATGTAATAAACCTGCACATTCTGTGCATATATCCCAGAACTCAAAATAAAAAATATGTAAGGAGTTTTCCTCTAGACCAGTAATAACTCTTACACATGTTTATATACAGAACATGATTTAGTATTTGTTGAATTAAATGGATCTGACCTATAATTTTAGTAAGATTCTGCTCTTTAAAAACCAAGCAACCATCAGCTCTTATTGAATTTGATAGAAGATTTCTGGATTGTTGAGCCTTTGACTTCTGCATGTCCCCTACCTTGTATTTGTTTGGGTGGTTGTCATCATCCCAAGAAATACCCAAGATAAGAAAAAAGGATGTAATTTGAATGAATGATTCTTTTACTTGAAAATCTTTTGAGAAATGTTCAGGAGGTTCAAAAACACTTAAAATATTGACTTTAAATGTCACTTGGGAACCATTGTTTAATTCCATTTAGTCATGCTTCTTTGTTAGTACAGATGACCAACTTTTGTTCTGAATAATTATAATCCCTAAGATTTTTCATAAGTAGGAAGATTGAGGGAGAAAAATACCTTGTATGATTGCTTGAATCCTAAGTATATAACCTAATCTCTCAGCTTGGACACTCTTGAAGTTGCAGAAGAAATGGGAAGACATTTAACAATCTATAATGAAGTGAGTAGAACAGGTATAAGCTTAGGATTTAAATATATCTAGGTGTGAATGCTTCCTCTGCCGTTTACTAGCTGTGTGACCTTGTGGAAATTATTTTACCCCTCTAAATTTCAGTAGGCCTACCTGAAAAAATGAGACATTTATATTTTCATCTCTAGATTGTAAGCCCTTTCTATGAATTGCCTGCTCATATCCTTTGCCAATTTTTCTATGTGATGATTGGTTTTCCTGCTGATTTATATATTCTAATCTGTTTTTCTGTATTTATTTCTTAGTTATGTGTGTAGAAAATATCTTCTGTGTTTAGATGTTTTTTACCTTTGTAATTTTAAATATATATTTTCAATTATACTTATTTAATTTACAAATTTGACTAAGTTTATAAGTATTTCCTTTCATGTCTAGTTAACAATTCCTTTTATATCTAGTTAACAATTCCTTTTATATCTAGTTAACAAACTCATTCCCACCCACAATACTATATTTTGTCTTATTTCTTCAGAAAGTATTATAACTCTTTGTAATCTTTAATCTACCTGTTTTAGGTTGGATTCTCCTAAAAGCAATGCCTGAGGCAATGATTAGATTAAAATAAGTTTATGTGGGAGCTGAAGCCAGAAAACACTTATAGGGAAATGAGAATGCTAAACAAGGAAAGGAAAGAAACCTATGAAAGAGGCATTATCAAGCCGGTTATCGCTGTGGGCCACTGAGGTTCAATCTCTCTGGGAAATCCTGGAAGAAAAGTGTAGAATCAGAGTTATCCTTCCTGAGGGGCAGAAAATGGAATGCCTCACGTCCATCTGTCATTGGCTGAGGGCTGCTCTCAGGGGTATTAACTTCCAGGCACTTCTGGTCTGGCCCAGTTAGGTGAACAAAAGCCCACAGGCAGAGTCCAGGTGCTTGAATAGGATGCATTGGCATGGATTGAAATCTGATGCCAAGGGAATATGGATGGGGTACCCATGGCATCTGCTAAGATATTTGAAATTCATTTTTATGTATTTTGTGAAATGGGGATCAAATTTTACTGTTTTTGTATGGATGAGCAAGGTTTTAGAGTTACTTACTGAACGGTTGTTCTTCTCTGCTGGCCATGCAGTTCCATTTCTGCCATAAACCAACTTTCCATACACATATGGATATGTTTCTAAGCCCTTGGATCTGTTCTTTTGGTCTATTTTTTCTAATCTTTTACCAATTCCACAGATTTCAGTTAATATATTCTTATAATTGAAATTTTAAATAATGAAACAATTCAAGCACAGACAAAATCAGAAAATACATGTAAAGCTGACAATTGCTTTTCCCCCCTCTTTTACAGTATTTTCCTGATTATATTTTCCAAGGATGAGTTTTAGGATCAGCTTGACCAGTCACATCTGCACACACACACACACACACAGTTAAATTTTTTATTGCACTTATGTTAATTATAAACAGTAATGGCCCTCTCATCCAATATAAAAGTTTTCTCTTTTTATGCTTTTCATAATCATCTATTGCTTTGTAACTATTGCTTACCTCTTATTTTAAAATTGATTCCTGCTTATTTTAGAAGGCTTTCCACTCTTGCTAATGAGATTTTCATAGTAAATTATCTATTGGGTTTTTCTTGGTCTAAAGGAATGGTTTTATGCCTGAGAACTGCACTAAACTCTATTATTAGTAGACAGTATAGATTTTCTTGGACTTTCATTAAAGATAATCATATAAACTGTAATTAATAAATATTTTTCTTGCATTTTATCCTCATAGCATATATTTTCTTGACTTACTACAAATATATATTATTTCTAACCCAATATTAAACAGAGTTAACAGTAGATATTCTAAAATCATCTCCATTTATCATGATTTTCATATTGACTTTTGCTGGACTCCCTGTAACAAATTTTAAAAGCTTATTTATTTTCCTTGTTTACTAACGGTTAATATGGAAATCATTAACATTATAAACATTTTTTATCTGCATCTCTGTAGATGATTGCATGTTTCTCTCCTTTTATCTGTTAATGTGTTTGCATGCATTAATATATTTTTGAATGTCAAAGAGTTCTTGAGTTTCTGGGAAAATCTTTACTTTGTGGTAGCATAAGTTTAATATCTTTTTTATTTCACTTGCTAATCAGAATTTTTAAAGCCATTACTAATAATTTTCCTTTGCTCGAATGTTCTTGGCTGATATATGACATTATTTCAGATTCAAAAACAGAGTTGAGTAATTCTGCCTTTTTATTCTCTGCAATAATGTGCAAAAGATGTATATCATCTGGTTTTTGAAATTTTTCTAATTATGTAGATATGCCTTTGGTTTAGAAATATTCAGAAATGGTTCAACTACAGTAATAGTTGTAGTTCTTGAATATTATAGTTATTTTTTAAATTCAGTAAATAAAATATCTTTTTCTAAAACGTTGTTTATTTTCTCTAAGTTTTAATTATTGGGATAAAATTATTTATGCTATTTATTCAGTGTTTATTCATTTCTACCAAATCAATAATTTTGACCTCTTGGCATTTCCTAAGAAGCTCGATTTTGTTTTATTTCTATTTAGTTTCCATAAATATGTCAAAATGTTTCTCTAATAAAACAGTATTTTTATATATGTAGTTTTTCCTTTTACTTATTTGCTCTCTATTTTTCTGTGCTTTCCCAAATTTTAAAAAAAATTATGATCTTATTGGTTGGTATTCTCCTCTACTCTCATGAGTTTGGTTTTTATTATCAACCTTCCTTTACACGTGAATTTGTGGCTTGGTAATTTTCAATCTATCATACTTTTATTGGGTGAATTATGAGCTATAAATTTTCTTTAGCTGCATTTCTGTGATTTTTGATATGCAGCAATTCAATGATTTCATTTCTATATATTCTTTAATTTTCATTATAGTTGATTCTTTGAACCATGAATTATATAGTTGAGATTTTTAAATTTCCATATGAATGATTATTTGGGTATTCCTTTTTGGTATTGATTTTAAGTACCATCATACTGCAGCCCAGTAGTGTGATCTCTCTGTAAATATTTGGTAAATATAGAGATTCTTTGGTAAATATAGATTATTTGGTAAATATATAGATTCTTTTTAAAAAATATGCATATAGGTAGTTTGTGAATGGTCTTTTGACAAACCTGTGAGTCATCTAAACGTTGTTTGCAAGACTCTATGTATGTTCAGTAGTTCAATTTGCCAGCTTTGTTCAAACCTTCCATAGCTTCATGAGTTTTGTTTTTACTATGCTGTATTTACCAGCTGGAAATTCCTAAATTGTTATGTTTGTGGTTTTATCAATTTCTGTGTCAATTTGTGACAACTTTGGCTCTACAGACGTTGAGACACTGCTTTTAGGATCTAGATTGTTATATTTTCTCTGTGAACTGATTGTTTTAATAATCAATAAAGACTCTCTCTAGTCTAAAAATGTATTTTTTCATAAGTCAGTTTGCCTTTTATTAATATCATTGCACCTTTTTCTTTCAGTTGGTGTTTCTCTCACATATTTTTGTGTATGTCTTTAGATTGATTTTGCACGTGTCACTGTTTTGTAGTTTGTTTCCTTTAGCTAACATATATTTTAACATTATCCTTGATGTTTTTCTTTTCAAAAAATTCAACCTCAAAACACATGTTTCTTAAATAAATGACATAGTCTTTTTTTCACTTGTTTCTATTACCAATTTTACCATTTTATTACAGATTTTTATTTATTGTGCTTTTCGTTTGTCTTTTCTATTGTATATCAGTTATTTCATTGATTTAATTTATTCAGTTCTCTTTTTCTAATTCTGGAAGTTAGCAATATTATCATTACTCTTCAGTGGTTTCTCTTAAAATTGTAACTTTCTCCCTTGACTTGAGTAAAGTGTTAATCATTATTTCTATTATTTTCCTCAACAAGGCAAAGGTCTTAAAATGATTTGATTTTGATCCTATCCTTCTGTTTTATGGAGTTTTTAAAATATCTCAGTCTTTTGGAGATTGAATATCTTTGTCTTCTGGTCTCTGTAGTTGTTGTTGATAGGTCTGCTGTCAGTTATTTTTTTATTCCTTTGTGTGTAGCCTCTTTAAACTTCTGGTTGCTTTAAACATTTTCTCTTCATTTTAAATGATGTACAGTTTTATTAAAAAGGTCTAAGAATTAATTTTAATATAGATCAGTGTGTTTCTTTAAACCTGGAATCCAGCTTTCCCTTAGTTATAAGAAATTCTCAGCGAATATATCCTAGGATGTTACTTTTCTGTAGTCTGATAATAGCCTGTGTCTGGAACACTTATTAGATATACATTGGACCCTTCCTTTCACTTACATGGCTCTAGCTCATATTTTCCATTTCTTTTTCAAAATGGGCTCCATTCTGAGGACTCTTATCAGAGCTGTCTTCGAATTCATTACTTTCTCCAAAGTTCTATTTATGTGTTTAAAAACTTATTCATTGTATTGTGAATTTAAATATTTATCCTATCTATAAATTGTTTCTTTTTCACATTTGCCTATTTAAATTTATAATTGTCTTTATTGAGTCTATTGTTCTGTATATGCAGTCACTTGAAGCACAAATACTTTGTATGTCTTAAAGGATTATGCTGCCATCTCAGGTTCACTTAGGTTTGAATTCATTTGACTGTGTGTTGGTATACTGTACCCCGTAGTGATTTGTTTACCTGTATGGTTAAACGGTTTTTGTGACCTAATCTCCAGTGAGGTTTTCTTCCCCTCTCTTGTAGAAGTCCCATACTCTTTCAGTTGTAAAAGTGTATACAGAGAAATTCTGTACTTGTTGCTCTCAAGATCCCAGTGATTTCACCAATCTGGGACAAGTTTTATAACTTAATTTATCAATTTAGCATCTATTACTCCATAGTTCCTATAAAGTAGATTTTAATCTGTGCATAGCTGAGGTTTCAATTTCCAGCCAGAGGCAGGGCAGATGAAAGTCCTCCCTGATGCTTCCCAGAGTCTGACGGAGGAGAGCTTCTATTTCCCTTTAAGGGACCTCTAGGGATTTCAGCTTTGTGCAGGGGTCTTTCTTCCAGCTCCCTGTCTGGTGCAGAGAGAGAACAGTTTTATCTCTGTGTGGACATTAACATCTAGCTCTCAGCCAGTAGGGGCCATATTTGAGTCCATACCATTTGCACCCTTACCTCTGAGGCATCAACTCATATGTTTACAGCTCTGCCTTGGAGTTTATTCCTTCATTTTCAGCACCTAGATATTTTTCATTCTTTCTTTGATTATATCTATGTACAGAAAATAAGTGTTTATTATATTTTATTTAAAACGTCTACGTATTGTGAGTAAGTCGGCCTCATCTCAGTCTGCCATGTTTCTATAAGTTCTAAAACAATTTTTTTTAGGGCTGTCTGCCACATATCTGGAGGCCCTGCTGTGAAGAGAAAGGCAGAGGTTTTATTTTTTCTGGTAACTCAGGCAACAGGAGTTATGCTAGAATTTCCGGAATTTCTTTTCTCTCTTTACAGAGTTTTAAAAAGAGACAGAATGGAAGCATCTTGTGTTTTTGCTATTCTGAAAAATTCTTAACTTCAGGAGCCAATATGAGACCCCAGTGCCCTGAGTGAAAGAAATGAACCCAGGTCACAGATGCTGGGTCCCTCTCTCTTGCTTCAACAAAAAGCAATGTGGAAAATAAGCACACTCATCGTATCTAATATGATATGTGCTAAAAGAAAATCTTCCTATTTTTTCCTGTGCTAATTAGCCTGTATCTTTCAAATGGGGGAAACTTTTTCCTCTAAATGTGAGAAACAGCGATAAACATGTCCTGATCTACTGCTAAGGGGCGCAGGAATGAATCCTCACTAGTTTAGAAGATTACTATGTATGGCTTATTCAATTGTTGGCTATGGGGCATTTTTTACCTAGTCTTGGATTTTCCTCCCTCCAAAAAGGACTTGTCTAGTCTCTTCACACACACAGTAGCCTACATTCACGTACACACACGCGGCCTTGGACATACAAGCAAGCACACCCAGAATGAGAAAAGGAAAGAGCATTTCTATATTGTTGAAATGGGGGGAGTAATTTTGTTTTCATCTGAGTTCTGGTATAAAATTGAGATTATAAGAGATGGGGGAGCATGAAGATAGGGCATGAAAGAGAGAAAGGGGCAGACATAATTCTGGGTTGGACTTAACAGTGTCTAATAGAGGGAAGCTCATGGTGGAAAAGAATACAGCTGATGATGGATTGGGAAAAATACAGAAAATAAGTGATGCGAAATAAGCTGACCCAGCTTTAGTTTTAAAAACCATTTTGATAGGCTGTGCCACACACATGTCATGACCAAGGTCCACTACAATGTAGTGAGCCCCTAAGAGTCCCCAGCATGTTGTGTGAAACATACTGATTTAAGAAGCGTGAAGTAGCATATTGACAGAAGCTCATTTTTCTTTTTTTTTTTTTATTCCTGAAGTGCATCTCCAGTGAACACTGCTTTGAGGTGTTGTCCAGTTAAAGATACTATTTTTTTTTTTGACAGTCTCACTCTCTGTTGCCTAGGCTGGAGTGCAATGGTGCAATCTCAGCTCACTGCAACCTCTGCCTCCCAGGTTCAAGCGATTCTCCTGCCTCAGCTTCCCAAGTAGCTGGGATCACAGGTGCCCGCCACCACATCCGGCTACTTTTTTCTTTTTTTAGTAGAGACGGGGTTTTGCCATTTTGGCCAGGATGGTCTCGATCTCTTGACCTCTGTTGATCCACCCACCTCAGCCTCCCAAAATGCAGGGATTATAGGTGTGAGCCACAGCACCCGGCCAAGGATACATTTAACACAGGGTGATTCCATTATAAATGAAAATACATAGTATAGAAAGGAAGAAACATTAATATACCCTCTGATTATGACCGATGTGTGATTATTCACAAAGAGAAAAGGAAAATGGCATTTAATGAACAACTGCTATGTGTAAGGCATCATCCTAGGTCATTTATAACAAGACAGGTCATTTGTAACAAACTGCTTTTTAAGTAGTACTTAGAAAGATGGAGTTTCCCCCTCACAATCTGGCCTCAATGATCTGAAAAACACTATGTCTTGGAGATTCATATCACCTTCTGTTGAAATACCCATTGGATAAAAATAAATCAAAGATATCTGATTATAGTAGATTTTGCCCTTTTGCTTATTCACACGTTTATTCATGTGCGTCTAGCATAGTATGTGCAATAACTACATTTAAAATATTTGAAAAGAATGTCAATTCCATCACACTAACACTACTATGAAAGAAGTTTGGTTTATCTATATGAGATATATATCTCTAATATTAAAGACATGAACATATTTTTAGTAGAATATGTATCAGGTACTCAGATTTTTTTAAAAGTCCACATTTGTCTCTTGCATTGATGCGTATGTGAAATCGACTAGTACAGCAGTCATTTGCAAGGTTCACATGTGGTTCTTGGAAAATCTAGGTCATCTCTCAATTTCGGGATGCTAAATTGCGTATAAAGCAGGTCAGCTGTCCTGCACTGCTGATTTACAGCACCATGACAGCCTGCTATTTGCCTTTTAAGAGTTAAATTGTATCTGCTAATCCTAGCTTTTAAGCAGCTAAAACTGACATTGCTTAATTTACTTGTAACCCTTATAACAGACTTTTAGCAGAGGGTATTGGTCTTTGTACTGGATTGAAAACTGGAAGTCCCATAGGAAATTGACTAAAACTATTATCATAGTTAAGGTTGCCTATCATTCTAATTATAATTCACATCCAATAATGAACACCTTGTTCAATAATATTTAATTCAAATCATGATGCCGAGTATAAAATTACATATCGAGAGAATTCATTAGAAGTTTCAAAAGTAAGCTGAGTAAATGTGCCTCGGAGAATGTATTTGATGAATTTGTAAAAGTATTTAAATTAGATCTGTAAAGTATTATGAAAAATCCACAAGGGATGCACAATTAGGCGAATAAGCTCTTCAAGGCCAGGAGCTGCTGGGCATTCACTGCAAAATGCTTTCTGATATATTGTTTACGCAAAGCAGAGATATGGGAGGGGGAAGCCATAATATACAACAAAGCAGAAACGCAGCAGAGGTGACGCCAAAAGTAATTGAATAAAAAATAAGTAATTCCCTCATAATTAGTTCTTTACCCTTTGCCTACATATTATTCATATGTCACCAAAGTATGTTTAATATGGGACAAATGGTTATTTAATTTATGCATGTTTTATAAAGTCCATAATGTATGAGCTTCATGAAAAGCTCATTCATAACAAGGTCTCCTTCAAGCTGTAGTGTGTAGGTTACACAATGCTGAATGTATAATTATGTAATTTATAACACTTAAACTGGTTATATCTATAGTGATTGTATATTAATATTCTGATGATGGATGAAAATGTTGTCCACTTTAATTTATGTTGTGCTCATTACCATATAGCTAGGGTAATTTCAAAATTTAATAAATGTACCTATTGGTTCATTCATTCATTCTTTTGCATATGTATTTACTTTGTTCGATGTTTATTGAACGGTAACTAGATTCCAGATGTTGTGCTTGATTCGTGGTGAAGAACCAACCAGTAAAGATCAAGAAGATACATGGTTCATCTTATAGTGGAGCTTACATCCCAACAGGGGAGAGTCATTTCATAAATAGCCTCACACATAGTGCAACATTGAAAAATAAATAATTATCTAAAGCAGGAGACAACAAGCTTTTTCTGTAAAGAGCCAGATAATAAATACTTTGGGTGATGTCAGCCATACAATCTCTGCTGTGTCTACTCATCTCTGCAGTGGTGGGGCAAAAGCAGTCATAGATAACACATAAATAGATGAGTATGGCTTTGTCCTAATACAACTTTGTTTACCAAAAACAGGTGACAGTCTAGACTTGGGCCATAGGTTGTAGTTTGCCAACCCCTGCTCTAGATACGAGATAGAGAGTCCCAGGGCAGTATAGAAAAAAATTTTCCTCTAGAGTAAGCAAGGGGTAGCTAGTGAAACTTTTACTGAAGAGTGACATGTAGGGCAAGATTAGTGGAAAATATCTAGATGATAAGTGGAAAGTAGTTGGTGTAGAGGACAGTTTTAAAGAAGATCTAGATAGCCATATTGCCAGAAGTGAACGCCTAACCCTTGAGGTAACTAATGCTCAAGGAAAGCAAGTGGCTTACCCAGTGGTTCAGTTCAGATTCCAGTCAATGTGACTCTAATTCCAAAACCTTATCTCCTTTCAGTCTTACCACACTGCCTCATTGTGAAACGCAGAGACATATGGAAACATAATCTCTTTTCTCTTAGGAGTTTGCAATCCATTATAAACTCTTTCGGACTTACATTTATAAGGTCATATAAAAATTTAAACTTATCTGTGGCAAACTTTTATAATATCTGGATGTGACAAAGACCAGGAATGGATTCATGAGGGAATGTTCACAGGAAACTTTCTAAAACACATTTGTTATATCCCAAACCAGCAGCTTCTATACACACAATATATCACAAAGCAAACTTCATGGCAGGACAGAACCCCGTTGGTTATTTTAGAACGGACCTTGAGCCCTAATGTCTGGGTTGTGATTTATGGATTGCTATGAGGCAGAGCAATGAGAGGTTTACAGGCTTGATGTGAAAAGAGAAAAATAAGTATCTTATGGCTAGCAGCAGGGTTAATATACTAGAAAAAATATACTTTTTTCCCTCCATGAATAATTAAGTGTGTTTTATAAGCATAAAGATACACAGGTGGAAGTGTGCTTGTTACTATTTAATGTTACTTTCTCTTCTTAACACTGAATCTAAAAAATGCCTTTATGTGCACTGATTGGTCCTATCCCTGATGGACTAAATGCCTTTTTATAGCATCCAAACTCTCTGTGATCTCTTTTCAAACTGCTAGGTAAGATTTTATTTCAAAACATAGTTAAATGAAATACAAAGCCTAAAAAATGCAATAAAGCAGCAAGTGATTTGTAAATATTTATTTTCTGTAAGAGTTAGATGGCATTTTAATATAGTGTCTTTAGCTGACACACTGAAAAAGAAGCATTGTCTCTTGACAGAATCAAGAAAAATCTGATTTTCATAATTAAAGAAATGGAAAAGAAGACAAGAAAATGCCTTTTTCCTTTTATAATGTACAAGCTGGCCTAAATACATGCCTTGAGTGAAGTAAGATTGACTTTAAAGCACACACTTTTATTCAACTCGATCAGAAAGAACTTTGATGGGTTTGGATACAAACTAAGAAAAGAGCCATAAATTCCAAGAATTGTCATTTTCTAGTAATTCTATTCTGAAATGAGATTTTTCTTAGCTGTTAGGAAAGAAAAGGGCTATTAACTAGGCATTAACAAGCAATTTCCGGTTCAATTTTGCAGATAAAAATGTTTGATTAAAGATAGTGTCTGTAGATATTTAGAGGTGTTACTAAAACCAAATGTGAGACTTAAAGGGAATTTCCTGTTAGCAGTTTTTCCCTTGTCCTCCATACTTTATTATTTCACAATATAGTTGGACCTTCTTTTAGACAGGTACTGAAGAAGAGAAATGAATTGGTAAAGTATTTAATGAGTGTTGATTAATAAAGAAAAATAAGTTGAAATCTACATTTCCATGATAAGTACTTTCCTTTCAATCAAGAAGGGATGTTCTCAAAGGTCATATATGTATAAAGTACAAACGTATAATGAAATAACACCACAACATTTGTTTATATAAGAGAAATGTATCTTACTCATTTTTTCACATATTTGCCACTTTAGATCAAATATTTGGTTCAGACTGTTAATAAAGACACTTGTTTTAAACATAGTGTTTTCTTTACAAAGATTGTTTTATTAACCTATTGGCTGTCCAGTAACCACCTTGAGATATTTCTACTTGTGACGATAGAATGCTAATAATTCTCTAAATGTCTCTACATTGTCCAGAAATTCTGACACAATCATGTTTCAAGAAGCCAAACTGGCTTTGGAAAACAAAAAAACAGAAAGTTACAAGTGGCATTTTTGGTCTTTAAGCATTTCCCCAGCAACTCGTGAGTTCCATAAAAATTGTGAGAAATAGAACGAAATACCCATGGCAAAATCTTTTGTGACTTGAAATATATAAAGCATTAATCTAGCTGTTTTTAAAAAACCTCTCAATAGGTTTTATCCCTCTATATTTTCATTCTTGATACTTCTCTGATAGGTTTATTTAATTGTATAAAGTTGGATTCGAGACAAGTGTCACAGAAGAATTAAAAGAGACAGTGAGCTCCTTGGAAAATGAGCCCATAGCCTGCTCATCTGTAAATAGGGCTCCATGTCTCACACCAAATGTGAGACTTGTTTTTCACTGTGCCAGGCACACAACTAACATCAAACCACTTGCCACAGAATGGATGAATGAATGAACAATAGATAAGCATCCTTCATGATGTGTTGTTGAGGCATTTAATTTTTTCTCAAGGAGGCTGAAACCTGAACTCCGTTCCAGGAGAACTGCAGGGTTGTGTGTTTGCTTGTTTGTTTATTTTTAGTTTTAGGTTTATTTTATTTTATTTTATTTTATTTTATTTTATTTTATTTTATTTTATTTTATTTTATTTTATTTTATTTTATTTTGAGATGGAGTTTCACTTTTGTCACCCAGGCTGGAGTGCAATGGTATGATCTCAGCTCACCACAACCTCTGTCTCCGGGTTCAAATGATTCTCCTGCCTCAGCCTCCCTAGTAGCTGGGATTACAGGTGTGCACCACCACGCCTGGCTAATCTTTTTGTATTTTTAGTAGAGACAGTTTCACCACATTGGCCAGACTGGTCTGGAACTCCTGACCTCAGGTGATCCGCCAGCCTCGGCCTCCGAAAGTATTGGGATTACAGGCCTGAGCCACCGCACCCAGCTGGTTTATTTTTCTTCTTGTTGCACTGGTTGCTCTTGCTAACTGGCATGATAATAATAATGATGAAGACACCAGTACCAATAATAATTATAATGATGACAGTAACATACCTTGTGTTTCCTAGAAATGGACACTGATCATCCCTCAATATTACAGTGAAGATTTTAATAGGCATAGTTGAAAATGTTTAAGAGACTATCTTTAATCAAACATTTTAGTCTTTGTTTAAATTATAGTTGAAAACAGTCGAATAAACTTTCCTTTGGAAATGTGACCATTTGCTAATTATGTGTACAATGTCAATATCTCTAACTTTATAGATTTTGTAGAAAAGTTGGTAAACAAAACAATAAAGTGACTCATTTCTTCCCTCCAAATCAAATCTTTATTCCCCAAGATCAAAACACATGCTGTGATTATTGGATTTCCTTATCTTTTCTCTCCCATATGGAAGCTGTAATAAGTCAATAAATCAATTTCAAATTTGTTCCTGTTACTTTCTATATTGTCAGGCTAGGTAAACCTTCCAACCCCTTAAATAACAGCTAATTCCATTAGGGTGTACTGCAAGAATCAGGTACATTGGTGACTCCAATGAGCCACATTTCTACATATCCACATCCTTGTATAGTCTCTACAACATGCCTTCACCAACTGAATATGTCAGACATGACAATGTGCCACTTCTGATGCTAGCCTTAAAGAGTTCTGGCAGCTTCTGCTTTTGCCCTCTTGGGCTCCCTGAACTGCCATGTCAAATGTCCTACTATCTTGCTGGAGAGACCACTTCGGTAAACCATGTGGAAGTAGCACATGGAAAGGCATAGGATAGAAAGGGAAAGGTTTCACATGCCAGCGGACTCATCAGCTAAATACGGACACATGAGCAGTCACCTGCATGATCAGCAGAAGAATCACTTGGCTGAGTTCAGCACAGATTAATGATTTGTAATTAAATAAATTGAATTTTGTTTTAAGCCACTACGTTTTGGCATGGTTTGTTATGCATCAATAGATAGTCCTAAACGAGTCTTAAGAAAGACTTGACAGATGAGGAGATAGCTAAGGAGTTGTGGGAATTAAAGACAGGGACATTATATTTTATTCAAAGGAAACAATGTATACATCATTCCTGGGTAAGAAAAGAGATCTATGTGCTTCAATAAATGAGAAAGGAAGGGAGGGAGGGAGGGAGGGAGGGAGGGGGGGAAGAGTAAGGGGGTGGGGGAAGAGAGAGAAGAAGACAAAAGAGAGAATGCACCACAAGAACAAGCAAATTGAATGTAGTGACAAACAGAGTGGCTCAAGATCAAGCTGGGGAAATAGACAGGGGCTAGATCATAAACGGTTCTGTAGACCATGTGATGGATTTTGAATTCACAAGCAACTGAAGGGTCTTAAGCAAAGGAAGGAATGTAATGCATTTAGCATTTTAAAAATATGACTTTAGTTGTTACTGTGTGGAGAATGGATGGAAGGGGGCCAAGGGTAAAAACAGACAAGTAAAAAGGATATCACAATATATCAGATGGGAGATGACAGTGACTTGGCATAGGGTTAGAGCTGTGCAGGTGGAGTGAAGTAGACAGATATGAAACAGATGTTTTGGAGAAGTAATCAAGTATGTGTTTTTTTAAATAGATTAAATACAGATGATGAGAGCGAGTGAGAAGTATCAATGATGACTCCATAATTTCTCATGTGAGCAAATAGTTGCCTAAAGGTAGCACTTATTGAAATGCAAGGCCCTGAAATAGAATAGATTTGGGATAAGTTTTGTCAGGAGGATGATTCTGGGTTGAGCTTTAGACCTGCTACATTTATTTGAGATGTCGGTCAGATATCAAGTGGAGATGTCAAAAAGGCAGTTGGATGTATTTTTCTGTGGCTCAGAGAAGAGGTCTGTGATGGAAATGGTATTTAAAGCTACTGGAGCTGAAATAATGCCCTAGTGGAGTGTTTAGAGTACAAATCAAAGAGAATCCAAGCTTATGCCCTGTGGAGCTCCATTTGCTGGTGATTGAGGAGGAGGAAGAAAAACAAAGTAAACCCAGGAGTAGTGATCTGAGAGGGTGAGAAGAACTAGCAGAGTGTGATATAGTGAAAGCCAGGATAAAAATATTCAGAAATAGAGGAGTTGCTTCTGATGGGCCAAGTAAATTGAAAGCAGGCGTGTCCACCATATTTAAAATATGAAATTCATGGGAAACTTTTGAAAGAGCAACTTTAGTAGGGTAGTGGAGAAATACTGACACATTCAATCATGTTTCAAGAAGCTAAACTGGATTTAGTAGAGAAAAGAGTGGGTGAGAGACTGAGGGTTGGGGAAGAAGCAGCAGCTTGAGCAGATACATCTTTGAGAAACCTAGCTGTGGAGGAAGTAGAAGAGTTATGTCAGAAACTGGAAAAGGGAATAGGGTTGAAGGATAAACATTAGAACATTCAATATACTAGTTTTAACATCAATGGAAAGAATCCAGTTGAGAGGAAGAGGTTGAAGATGCAGGATGGGGAAGGGAGGAAATGGAATAAACAATGCAGAACACTTGCAGAGAGACTGACCTGCAATCTGGTTGTTACCTGATTCAGGAACCTTCTATGACTTCCAAAGGCCACATAGGATCTTGCCTTAGACTTGTGTACTGATCATGTCGGTGACCTGGAAGGCTTTTCTCTCTCAGACACCTGCAGGGCTAATTCTTTCCTCGCCCTCCAATCCTTATCCAAATCTTTTCTTCTCAGGAAGGCCACCCCGTGTAAAATTCCCAACTGCTCTCCTCAAGATTTCTAGGCTCTCACCTTGATCTGTTTTTTAATTTTCTCATTATATTTATGACAAAACTGTGAAGTAATTAATTATATATAATTCATAATAGTTATACAGTTTGTTGCTTATGTAATATCTCCTCCACAACTAGAATTTAACCTTTACCAGTACAGGGAAGTTTGTCTGTTTTCTTCACCGATATGATCAGTTTCTGACATATTTCTCTACTCCTTCCATAGCTTAGGAGACCCTTCTGCTGGGCATTCAGGAGTGTGTTTTTCTGGTGTGAGTTGAAGGAGGTGGTGACATGTTTACACATCGCATGCTATTTAACATGACTTGTTCAAACCCTTACTCACCGTTCTCTGCACAGCCCATGTTCCATTTCAGTTCTTTGACCTTATGCCTGTGATCCCTACACAGCCCACACACCCACACAGCTGAAGCAGTCTCCTTTATTCCCTCCACCCATCCTAATCCATCTCCACAGCCTCCCAAGGGTAACATAGCCCACCTTACTCACCAATATCTTCTGTGGACCATTTTGCACAGAAAATTGGAACTGCAGCATATTAGTCTGTTTTCACACTGCTATAAAAAATACTACCCAAGACTGGGTAATTTATAAACAAAGGAGATTTAATTGACTCACAGTTTCCCATGGCTGGGAAGGATAGTCACGGTGGAAGGAGAAGCAGGCACTTTCTTCACAAGGCGGCAGGAAAGACAGCGGGAGCAAAGGGGGAAGAGCCCCTTACAAAACCATCACATCTCATGAGAATTCACTCACTCTCATGAGAACAGCATGGGGGAATGCTGGGGTAATTGGACCCAACATCAGGTCATGGGGGCAACAAAGTCAGGTGGAGTCAAAGGAATGAGAAAAGACAGTTTGAGAGAGAAAGTGGGATCAGGGGGCCATCGCTAAGTATGGAGGCTGAGAAGTCCCTGAGTTCTGGAAGCCCGGACTATTTATTACTGATCAAACAATGAAACAGGTGGAGAGAATGTGGGGGGTCGAAAGGGAGCATTGCATTAATCACATGATTTACAGCTGTGATGGTTTAGCATTTATATGGCCAACTGTAAGACACAATCAATCTAGGAGCCTGGGAGGGCTAGAAGCAAGGAGCCAGCAAGTCTAGACACATTCCAGAGCCAGGAGCCTGGGATTTCATCCAAGCCACGAGGGGTTTTCTGCCCTGGGCTTAGATTATGGTGCGTCAGGGTAGACTTCCACCCTTTAGCACAGAGTTTGGTGTTCCAAAGGCCACAAGGGGTTTAAGACCCTGGACCCCGGACATGTTCTAAGACTCTTTTACATTACGTCAGACATGCAAGCCCTGCCTCAGCTTCTCCCAACACTCAGCTTTTCGCAACAGGGGAAACTGTCCCTATGATCTAATCACCACCTATCTGGGGAACCAGCCCCCAGTATTTCAACATAGGTTCTTTTCTATTTTCCCTAAGTGTCGGCTGGTCTGAGAAATAAAGAGTACAAAAGCAAGAAATTTTACAGCTGTGTCTCCGGGGGTGACGTCACATGTCGGCAGGTTCCGTGATGACCCCCTGAGCTGCAAAACCAGCAAGTTTTTATTACGGGTCTCAAAAAGGGGAGGGGGTGTACGAATAGGGTGTGGGTCACAGAGATCACGTGCTTCAAAGGCAATACGATATCACAAGGGCAGAGAGGCAGAGTGAGATCACAAGGCCAGGGTGAAACTAGAATTACTGATGAAGGTCCATGTCCTTCTGGGCACACATTGTCATTGACAAACATCTTAACAGGAAACAGGGTTCGAGAGCAGACAATCGGTCTGACTAGAATTCGCCAGGCTGGAATGTCCTAATCCTAATAAGCCTGGGAGCGCTGCAGGAGACCAGGGTGTATTTCACCCCTTATCTATAACTGCATAAGACATAAGACAGACACTCCCAGAGCGGCCATTTTAGAGACCTCCCCCTGGGAATGCATTCGTTTTCCCAGGGTTATTCTTTGCTGAGAAAAGAATTCAGTGATATTTCTCCTATTTGCTTTCTGAAAGAAGAGAAATATGACTCTGTTCTGCCCGGCCTAGCAGGCAGTCAGACTTTATGGTTATCTCCCTTGCTCCCTGAAAATCGCTGTTATCCTGTTCAAGGTGCCCAGATTTCATATTGTTCAAACACACAGGCTTCACAAACAATTTGTACAGATAACACAATCATCACAGGGTTCTGAGGTGACATACATCCTCAGCTTATAAGGATGACAGGATTAAGAGATTAAAGACAGGAGTAAGAAATTATAAAAGTATTAATTTGGGGAACTAACAAATGTCCATGAAATCTTCACAATTTATGTTCTTCTGCCATGGTTTCAGCCATTCCCTCTGTTCGGGTTCCCTGACTTCCCGCAACAACCACCCACCAGGTCTTTCCCTTAACACCTGGGGATTACAATTCGAGATGAGATTTGCGTGGGGACACAAAGCCAAACCATATCCTATCGGATGTATTGCCCCATTAGTGTCATGTGGGCCTTGACATACTGTCCACATCTTATCTGCTACATCACCTGGCAGGGTGCCTTCATTTGGGAGCAGAATCTTAAAATACAGGTCTTACCTATTATTAAGTACCTCAATAAAATGGTGTTAATTCGTTTAAAAGGCCCTTCCATTACAACTATAATAAGTGTTTATTAAGAGTGTGTGTATGTGTGTGTGTGCATTTTAGAAAAACTGATGGTCATGTTAACCAAGTTTTTAGTAGAACTCTGAGAGCCAAAAGTATCGTGAGACTCTCAAAAGCCACAGAAGAAATCGTAATTTGTCTTCCCTCACCTGAGAAAGAGACAATTCCAAAAACATCTCTCTTGACTCAATTGATTTCCATAGGCCTTAAATCTTTTGCTTATTTCTCTAATATATGCATTAGTTTATCTCCAAAATAACAAAAACTGAGGACCTAATAATGTTGGATCTTGGATCATACCACTTTCCTCATCTTGGCTGACCTCATTTTTTCTGACAGTGTAGGTTGGAAAGACAATAAGCAATGCCTATTTCAGTGTTGCCCTAAAATTTGTGTGTGTAGCCAAAGGGAGGCAGAGAGAGAGTAATCATTATAAAGACTCTCTCACAGTGCATGTAGCCCAATCTAAAAGCAGATGATGTCTTTCCAGACAGTGGTCAAGAGAAGAACCAACCAACGGACAGAAAGTCACAGCTGCTCTTTTTAATTTTTTTTTAATTTTTGTGATTACGTAGTAGGTATGTCTTGCTCTTGACCTAATGCTGAGGGAAATACACAGCAAGAACCTGGCCTCCCTTTGCCTGAGCCCAGCTGATTAATTGGAACAGGCATGCCCACATTCATTTAAGCAACTTTGTTCAAAATTAAAGGAGTATAGGTAGAAATAATTTATTTGGAGCCTTTCTTCTGGGAAAATACAAAGGCTAAGTGTAATAAAAAGAAGGAAAGGGAAATGAACTGGTGTGGGGACAAACTTCCAGGGAATCATTTATAAAAGTAAAAGTGGAAATTAGAAAATATGTGTAAAGTGTGAAACTCTGTGGAGTCCTATACAACCTAAAAGCAGAAACTGGGGAGGGGCAAACCTAAAATCGTACTCACAGGCATGTGGGAGATTCTGAATACACCCGTTTCCAAGGAGGGGCCAAACAGTCACAGAGAAGGACAGCCTCTCTCTTCCGACTTGACTAGATTTGTTGTCTAACAAAACTTTTTCGGCACCTTGTCAAGGAATACATTTTCTCAGAGTTGAGAATTTAATTCTTTTTAAAGAGCACAATAATACAGCATGGAAGCCTTTAGGGTGAATTTGCTCTTTGCAGGAAGAGCTCCAGTGGCAACCAGGGGCCATGGTGTTCTGTATCCCCAAGTGGGGTCCGGCTCTGTGTTGAGGGTTCAATGAAGGCGTCTTCTGAAGGGCCAGAGGAAAGGGCTGTTGATAGTCTTTTGGCAATGGTGAAGTGCCACTTGGGAATAGTGTTCCTGGGAGAGGGGACCTGTGGTCCTCACGTTAAGTAGAGCTAATGAAAAATAGACTCCAGCCCAAAGAGAGCTCTGGGAGTGAGCTTTCAATAAATCCAAAGAGCGGCTAAGAGAGGGCCATCTTGCCTGGGCCCTGGGGTAGGGAGTGTTCAAAAGAAGGGAAGGAATGTCTGTTCCTTTTCTTTGACAGTCTTTGTTCTGTTGGTGAAATAAAATGATCAAGTAATCTGTGAACATCTGTGTCTATTTTACTGGAAGAGCCAGACTTGGTAGGGTACAAAGCAGGAAACCACTGAATTACGCTCATCACTGACCGTGTAAACCCACTCTATTAACTCATTCTTCCTCATCCCTGGACAGAACCTGAGCCAAGTATTTTGGTTCTTCTGGCCACATTTAGGTTAAAAACAAACAGTGTTATGTCTGATCTAAAGCAAACTTTAACTTCTCATTCAGTTTAAAATTTCTCCCATTCCCAGCTTTGGCCCAACTCAGGCTCTCAGGGATGTGTAGTGGGCATGGGTACCACAGCGGAGTTTTGTCCATCACCTTCTTCAACCCTTTCTCCTCCTTGCTCTACCTGGGACACTTTCTGCACTGGAGGTGGGAGAGGAAAGAAGCAGTGGTGCCCTCCCACTGCGCTGTCCCCTGGTTTGGACAATGCCCGCTCTGGCAGGCTGGCTGTGGCCCCTTCCTCAGCCTTTTTGCATGTGGCTCACCCCATGTCGGCTCTTGCCATTGGAGTCTCCAGCTTCTGAAAGAGGGGGAGTCTTTTTGAACAGTTTCCTCTCAGGGCAGAACAAATCCAGCCTCCTCCCATGGTATCCACTTGACCTTGACATATTTGGGGAGTGTGAGCTGCTGCCATTCCAGTACTCTTTTCTTTGTGCTAAGGTAGGGAACTCCAGCACACCCTTTGCCCATGCAAGCTTTTCTAGGAAGCACCAGCCCCTGGGCCCTGTAAACTTCTGGAAAAACAGGCCAACATCTCCAATAGCTCTCTCCTGAGCTCTGTGCGGGGCTTTTTGAAGTGAGAAAGCAGAAAACGCATCCAGGGCAGCAAGGGTCCTGCTTGGGGAAGGAGCAACTTCCTCTTCTGACAAGTGCTCCTAGTCTTGAATTCCCTCTCATTTGATGGGAGGTGAAGCCAGATATATAAGATATTTCCCCAACCCCATTTACGTGCGTGAAATGCAGTGATGCACACTGTAGCAACTCTTTGCAGAGAAGTCCCCTATTCCTACCATCTTAGTCCCTCTACTGCTTTAGCTTGAAGTGAGAGGTGGACTGGGTTGCCAGATCATTTCATACCCAGCTTTGGATCTTTAGTCAAAATTCCCAAGAACGAAAAGGCCACCTCTCTCTATTTTTCTGCTATGTTGTCAAACACATATGGCATGCACAGAAGGGAAAGATGAGCACAGCTCACAGCCTTCGAGGGCTTTGTGGAAGGGGTGAAGCTTAAACTTACAATTTGAGTCTGGGTGCGTGGAAATATAAAGGGAGGGTGTGTGGTGCATGGGATCTAGCTTGAGAAATGGCCCAGATAAATGAATGGGCTGAGAAGATTGAATGGATGTAGTGAGGACAGAAGAAAGATAATTCTTCAAGGCCAAGACAGGATGGCTAGTGTCAAGGGAAAGGCTGCTGCACTTTGTTTGGCAGGAAAGTAACACCAGAGCAACAGTGGCTTAGGAAGATGATGGAGAGCTATGCAAGGGAAGATAGATATTGATGTTTCTCACCCTGCACCTTATCACAATCACTTGTGCAATGTTTAAAAGCAGATATAAGGCCAGGCATGGTGGCTCACGCCTGTAATCCCAGCACTTTGGGAGGCCAAGGTGGGTGGATCACGAGGTCAGGAGTTCAAGACCAGCCTGACCAACATGGTGAAACCCCATCTCTACTAAAAATACAAAAATTAGCTGGACGTGGTGACATGTGCCTGGGAGCCTGTAATCCCGGCTACTCGGGAGGCTGAGGCAGGAGAATTGTTTGAACACAGGAGGCAGAGGTTGCAGTGAGCCAAGACTGTGCCACAGCACTCCAGCAGACTCTAAACAACAACAACAAAAAAGAAAAGCAGCTATAAAAAAGAGGCTCCAAATGAAAGAGCTTCAGGTGACTGTGAGGTGTAGCCTTGATGAGAGGCATGGTGTGGGACCAAGAGAGCCTTGAAGTGGGGACCTTGTCTGTCTTGTTTGCAGACGTCTCCCAGGGACCTTGAACAATGCGTAGACAATAATAGATATTCAATGAATATTGATTGTATTAAAGTGAATGGATTTCAGGTCTGGAGGCTGGAGGCATGAACATTAATTAAAAGGCTATGACAGGATTCAAGGGGCAAGTGTTGAAGCTCTCAAAGCAAGATTGGAGGAATATTGGAGAAGCAATTGAAGCATAGAAATAGTTTCATTCTTCAAACACTTATGCTATTCAAAGAAAGTTGGGAAGGAAGATTAATGTAAGAGTTTATGACAGAAATAGAAATAGCACAGACAATATTGAAGCAGGTATGTTTTATAGGTAGAAACGTGATTAGATTATAAATGAGATAATTCAGGCTTAAATACGAAGACTGAGGAGACACGAATACAGAAGTCCTTGAAACCAAGATTTAAAAAAAAAAAAGTTATGAAAGATTGAGCCTAAAGAAAAAAGAACAAAAAGCTAAGAAAAAGTCAGCTTTTATTTGTCTAGCTGTGTACATCGAACATTTGCTGTGCATCAATGTGTAATGCTTTTTAAATACACTGGCTAATTTCACCCTCATAATAAATGTGTGGTAATGATGAATATTATCCCTCATGTTCAAATAAGGCAGTATTTTGCCCAAGGTCATATGGCTAGTAGTGTTTGGCCCCAGCCAGTCTGACTGAACTTGGCCACACTTGGCAGGTGGAAGAAGTAAGGAAGAGGTGGAGAAGGCCCAGTCATAGCAGAAGGAAAACATGGAATAATTCAAATCGTGTTCACTGGGACTTGAAAGGAATAAATGATGAGAGGATTCAAGTCACATGTTCAAAGAAGCTTAGAGAGAACGAATAAAAAGAAAAAGACCTGCTATGTCAGGAAGGTCACTCAGAAGAGCCACTTCAGGAATTCTGGGAGAGAGGGTGGGATTTTTTTGAGACTGTGCCGTGTTCATCCTTGAAGAGAAACGGGGAGATTGGAAGGTTCTGTCCAGAAGGCATAGCAGAATGAAGGGGGAATTTTTAGATTTGTGAAGTAAAATATGTTTGAAATTCCCAGAGATGGAGTCTACAGGGAAGAAAAGATTCAAAATGCTAAAGGAGAAAAAAAGTAGTTGAAGGGACAGGTCTTTGAAGGGATGGGGTGTGGTAGAATCCTAAGCGTTGATGGACATTGGAAGAAACTGTGTAAAAACTCTTAGGATACTTTAGAAACAAGTTCAAATGGTTCACACAAGGGTAACCTTAAGAAAAAACCTATATCAAAAGCAATTTCTCACAGAAAGGAAACCAAACTGGAACCACGGACATCCATGTAAACAGGAATAGCCTAGCCTGCCTGAGAGCCTCAGGTGGAAGATGCTGGATCTGAGGTAGCCTTGGATTTTACTATGCCAGCCAATAATGCATCCATGTAAGTCCAGCACAAGGTCTCTTACACAACCTCCACTTAAGCTCATTAAGTGAACAAGCATTCTCTATTTCCTCTGAAAATGTGTAGTGACTGATGCTCATTCTTCTTGAATGTTCTGGGCTCGTAGGCTACATTCAAGTATGCCCTCTCACTTGAACTTCCACATGGCAGATGAAATATTTAGCAAGAGTCGGTTATTAATTTCTCAAATCTGTTTCTATCAGTCATTCTCTATTGCAACTGGGTCATTTAGTTAACTATTATATAACAGACTAAGTATGCACGTGAAAACAATTGTTTCCACTAAAGTCAATTTGGAAGACTATATAAAGATTATTGGAGTTGTGGATTCTTTACTTCCCAAATTAGGACACAGGAGTTAGGCAGATGGGGATTAAAATGTCGGTGTTACCACTAATAAAACCAAGGTAGGCATATGGAATCCAGTGGTGACACCATTGGGTTCCATACACCTATCATGGTTTTATTAGTAATAACAGTGGTGCATCATTCCAGAATTTCAGAGGCATGCTTGTGGAATAATAGATAGCTCTGGGCAACTGGTAGCCTTCACCACAGAGTTGGAAAACGTATTGCTGTGAAGAGGCAGGAGATGTGTCAATCCTGTGGAAAGGTTGGGTTCACAAGAGAGAAAGAAATTATCTTGTCTGAGTCAGTTCAGCTGCTTCTCCCCAGTTCAACCATGCCTTTCCTTCTGCTACCTAATGGTAAAGGTCGTCAGTAGGGCTGACTGTAACTTATTTCACATGGAAACACGACCACGGAAGTGGAGACCCTGCTGGTAAATCCAGGTCACATGCACAGACATATATAAACTCTAACATTAGGTATAGGCAAGACAACTACCAAATACTTAGGGAAAATTATTGAAATCTGGATGGAATTTAGACTTAGATTGAAGTTCCAGTTCAACTCTAAAGGAATCACAACCACAAATTACAGGCAATTTATGAGAGTGTGTTTAATGCAGGAAAAGAAGAACACTAGAAGCCAATTCAGTGAACTCCACTCAGAGAAAAGCTCTTGACTCTATGAAACATTGACAAATAGATGCATATGAATATGTTTTGAGTGGTAATAAAATATTAAGATGTGAATCACTTTTATGATTTCTCCTTTTTAACTGACTTTCTAAAGTTAACCTCACTACTGCTTCCAATCACATTGGACAAGACAGCTTCTCAGTGATCAAAAAGCTCATTGCTTCTCAAGTTTTTTGTTGCATTCATAAAAAAATTAGCATGGTTAATATATCACCTTGAACTATAAAGGGAAAACATTGTCACGTGATCAACACTAGGCTCATTTATTCTTTTTGTCATTCTTCCAAAACCATGGGGCTATCTTCTTTTGCCAGGTACTGGGATAAAAATGAGAATTAATAAGACTTAACCTTAATTTCGAGTCATCCATAATTTTGTATTTTTATAGGGAGTATTTATTTGATAAACCATACTGTGCCAGTATAGTAGCGCAAGTCTTCTGAGAAGCAGATGCCAATATGTGACGTTATGTGCAGGGACTTTATTAGGGGGAATACCTATGAGTGAAAATGGGGAGGGAGCAGAGAGGTTGGGAGAGTTTCAGACTGTGATATTTTGGTCTAACTCAAAGTGAAGAAGGGAGAGGAAATGGCATTTTGCAGTCTAAAGAAGGTGCGGCAAGCCAGACGCTGTGGCTCACGCCTGTAATCCCAACACTTTGGAAGGCTGAGGCAGGCGGATCACCTGAGGTCGGGAGTTCAAGACCAGCCTGACCAACATGGAGAAACCCCATCTCTACTAAAAATACAAAATTATCCGGGTATGGTGGCACATGCCTGTAATCCCAGCTACTCGGGAGGCTGAGGCAGGAGAATTGTTGAACTCGGGAGGCGGAGTTTGCGGTGAGCTAAGATTGTGCCACTGCACTCCAGCCTGGGCAACAAGAGCAAAACGCAGTCTTAAAAAAAAAAAAAAAAAAAAAAAAAAAAAGAAGGTGCAGCAAGGCTGCTGGGAGTTACGAGTCACGGTGCTCCAAGAGGGGAAGCCAGGCTCCCAGGAAATGACTTGTCTGTGTATGCTGCCATGCTCAGTCATTGGCTGGGAGTCACCAGTGGGAAGCCCGGCCTTGGAGCTGAGGCTGTGATGAATTTCAGAGCCCAGTAGCTGGGGCCCTTTGTCAATTACATTCTTGTAGTTGATCTAAGAGGTGCATTCTCACGGCCACTGCAACCAGGTCCTGAACATTAAAATTTAAAGAGTCTAGATAATGGATGCTCATTGTGGGAAATCAGAAACATACAAGTAAACAATATGTTTCCTTTGTTTCTTCCTCCCCTTTCATCCATTCACCTCTGAATTATCTTTGTAGAATGCAAAGCTAATCATTTTTCAGATGCCAACTATCTTCAACAAAAATTCCCTGATTGCTGCTTTCTCTCCTGCCTTTGGCCCTTTCCTTTGCCAGAAGTTGCCGTATCCAGTTCCTTTACTCTTCCATTTCCTCTATCAATGGGTTTCTCATCCTTGAAATGTCAAAAGGATTAAACAGCTGACACCTCCTCTAAGAAGGCTTCTGTTCTTCTCTGCAACCCCCACCCCCCTTCTTCTTTTAATCAGGTTCTTTTCTATGCATTTCTGCATCACCCTGTAATTATTTGCCAGATGTGTCTGTTGGCTTACTTGGTGTTCCCTCACTTAAGACGGTGAGCTCCTTGAGAGTAAAGATATGTTGTATTTACCAGGATTTCCAGCATCCAGCAGTGTTTGAAACTTGGTAGGCGCTAAATCACTGGATGACAACTAAACAAATGAATGAACATGCACATGTACACTCCTCGGCAGTTTCAGAAGACAAGACATTGTTGCATGGAACATAGGGAAAATATATCATTTAGTGATGGTGGTGATGATTCCCATTTTGTCTGTGAAATAAGTTATTCTGGCTACTACAGCTTATAGTAAGAGTGGCTCTTCCCTAAAGAAAAGCAATGTGGATATACCACTCTGCACTTTATTTCTGTAAAATGCTTTGCTATAACATTCCATCCAAATCCTCCCAGCATCCCTTTGATGACTTACACCTCTTCCAGCTGAGACCCTGTGAGTCCAAGCTCCCCTGTCATGGTGAGTGGTGGTTCCTACTGTGCTGGGGAGGACACTGAAGCAGATGGCAGTTAGGCGACTTTCTACATAAGTGCCATCGTTGCAAACGGCAGAGTCAGTAGTGGAGTTCATGACCCCCGATAGTCCTCCCTACTCTACCTGTCAGGTCATAATTTTCCTACAAGCCCTGGATGTTAGGCAATGAGAACTAATGATATGAATGTTTCCTACTGACCAGAGTATTCCTGGGCCTCATACACTGAGCCCATCACCATCAGGTAAGAAAAAGATTGGGGGCAGGGGAGGTCAGGCAGATCGAAGCACAGTTCTGTTGATGTGATTCCCATAGAAAGTCGGCTATATTTATGGAGGTTTGTATTTAGGACCTTTCAAGGAATTTTCAATTACTTAAGAAATAGAGCACCTTATTTATTTTAAATCCATTTGGCAAGTATTAATGGCTCTATTTGATTGCCTGAGTCCCCCATCCTGCTCCACTCCACCCCATTCCAAAATAAAGCATAGCCAATCATATCTCTGTGTTAAAAAAAAAAATACCTCCTTGATTCTTTAAAATATTGACTGTATGGGTAATTGTGGTATAAATGTGTTCAATAGGCAAATAATTTTCTTTAGGAGGGAAATTAATGATACAACATTGCGGTATGTTGAGTAAATTTAATTTATTCATTCTATTACTTTCCCTCTTAACAGGGATAATTTAAAGTCAATAGTAGTCTCATTTTAAAACCTGTGAATTCTCAAATCTTCTAATTTAATTATGGAATTGAAAGAGATGTCAAATCATTTTGAGTTTACATTTGTATAAAGTAAATAATGTGCACACGACTTGGGTAATAAATGACGTATCTCTCAAGTATTTCTAATTGACTTCATTCACACATTTTAATTCTTTATTCTCAGACTGTGCAATCATTAATATCATATTTCCAGGATAATAGTGTCTGTGAGCTCATGTACATTTCCTCCACCTCTGTTCCTAAAGCTAGACCAGCCAGGCTGTTCTGTTGTAAACTTTTATTGGCAGGGGTTCATAATTCAGCTGTAACATTTCATGCTGGGCTGCAATTCACTGCACAAACCCTTTGCCCTGAAGAGCTTATGTTACTACAAAAACAATCGTAAAAATCCATTTTTTCTCTTTTTAAGTAGGCCAGAAAAATGGTATCGTAAGAAACGCTATTCTTAAAAAAAATAAAAAAGACACTTTCTAAAAATAAAAGTTGGTGAATGAAACGATCTGTTTAGTACTGAGCTTTCATCACCCCTCACCCATCGAAATAACTTTCATATTGTAACAATGGAAAATTTACACTTAAACAGGTGCAACTTGCTCCATGGTGCTCAGGGTGCATAAAAAGTCACCTTTTTTCTTATTTTTCTAAGTCAGATTAAATCCAGCGTGAGGTCACTGTCATCAAGGTTGACAAGAAGTCCAATAACAGTCAATTTGGAGTGCCCTCTCCTACCCTTGGGCTGTGGTAGCACGCCAGGGCTTATGCAGTCCAGAAAAAGAGTAAAGGGCCCAGAGCTAGGTGCATGCTTGCCTTTGATCCTTGCCCAGGCAGCTTGTTTTATTGGCAATATCACCGCCACCTTTGCCATCCATGCCAAGCTCAGTAATGGGCTCTTTGAGAAGGCTCCATAGGTCACAATGCTTATGATGCCAACCGCGTTGGAGGTCCCTGACCCTCAAGGATCCCAAAACACCAGCATGCACCCACACATCCATGCACACTTCTTTCACATCCAAAACATCTCTCTCACTCCCTGCCCCTCAATTTCCTCTTTACCCAGTTTCCAGTCTGCAAGGAACGAGCAATACTTTGATAGATAGTGATTTTTGGAGTATATGAGTTTATTCTCCTCTGACTCTGAACCACAAAACCATTCTTTATTTTTTACCCTCTCACTGTTATTAAATGTGTTGAGAAGAAGGAGGTAGAAGATGATTTCAATCTTCCTATTTTTTTCTACTTCAGAAAAAGAACACCAACACATGTTTTGTATTAGTAGAATCACCCTTGCACATAATCAAGTCCTATTTTACTTTAACATTCTCAGCACTGGGTGAGGACTCATGCTATGTAGGTTATGGTTTTAAATTTGCAACTACTTAGCCCCTGTCTTTGACTGTGTGAGGGAACTCCTGATCTCATTTTCTTCATTTATAAAATGCAAGGCATGAATGATCTAATTCTATAAAAGTAGAATGATGTGTATTCTACAAAATTTCTTCCCACCTAAAAATCTCAAATTATGAAATACTTGTAGCCTAATAATTTCTGAGTCACTTCCTGTGTTCAGTTTTGTTTTCATATCTAGAGATTTTTAATTATCACCCAAAAATTTGAATGTGGCATAATCGATATTATTTGTTATTTTGATGGTAATCATGAAGCACTTCTTCTTAACAAAACCAAATCAACAAGTAACAAATGAATAAAGGAATTTCATAAGACCTTTTGGAAAACTTAAAGATCTAGGTGTAATGAATAGGATATGTGGTCTCTTCAAAGAAAGACCATAATTAGGATAAGATTTCATTGTTCAGGTTACTGCACTGTGTGTCAAAAATCGTGAGCTGCTCCAAGACATATGTGAAAGTCAACACAGACTTTCTCAAATGCTTTGAAGTAGCCCTTTCCTTCTACTTCAGCAGATTCCTGCAGATTCATGTCAGCATATCTATGAAGGCTGCATATTAATTTTGCAAGTTCCCTTCACTTTGGGACTGATATACCAACCTGCAAATGCAACCTCCCCCAAAGACCAGGCTGCTCGTTGCTGTTTTGAACTTAAAAGTTGTTGCTATGTATCCCCTACTTAATTAGACAGCGAGGGCACCTTTCAAAGATACCCCAATTTCAAAAGAGACAGAGAGATGCAAGGGAGAGTGAGTGGGAGAGAAAGAATGTACTCGGTGAAGTCTGAGATGCCCTTCAAAAAATGAAAGATGGGACATGAACATGGCAGACATTCATTAACATTAATTTATTACATTGAATCCTCAAGTTTCTGGTCCATGATAAGTGATAAATGACAATAGGTCCCTACTAGCAGAACCTGAAGCATAGCTGCTATTAACATACCCTAGCACACCTTTAAACAAGGCAAATGCTGAGGTATAGCAGCACTGAATGAAGGAAGTTAGAGGTAGCTAAGAATGGGTAGATAGCAGTCTGAGAGGAAAGACAAGTTATAAATCTTGGAAAATTGTGATTTGTTCCATCATTTAGTCTTTCAATATAATGGTTTGTATCTATATTTAATCTTTTGATCTTCTATCTATAAATGCATTATCATCCATGGGTGACCGTGATGATGGGGGAGGGATTCAGGCTGGGGACAGTGGTGGATGCCTTCTGTTAACCACCCTACACCTCCTATCAATGCCTTTCTCTCCATGGCCCATGCCTCCAGGGGCAAAGGGGACTGGCTTCCCTTGATCTCAGGTTTGCTGTTGGGATTGGCCAATGAGGAGCATCCATAGGAGATAGGAAGACCTGGACCCTCCACAGAGGTCACCTGCCTGTCAGACCACTCGCTCCCCAGAGCCACTGTCCCTTTGCGCCTTTAGAACTAGGTAGTAGGGGCACTGGTTACTACTCTTGGAATTCTGCAATATCATTTGTGGGTTCCTTCTATCCTGCCCATACTTCCGTCAGCGCTTTTTAGAATTATTAACTCTTCTCCAATAATCCAGTTTTAATGTGCTGTCTGTTTCTCTTGGAATCTTGAAACACACAGGACCAGGAAGGCTTTCTGAAGGAACTACATAAAGAGTTACATCTTGAAGGTGTTAGGAGTGTATGGGAGAACACGTTGGAATAAGATGCAAAGGAAAAACGAGATTTCAGTCAGAAATAGCAAGGTGTGAAAAAAAAGGGAAACGGCTGGGTTTAGGTAACAATAAAAGGGAAGAATGTACTATTTACTGTTTTTAAGGTGTATTACAGACTCCAGACTTATGGCAATTATTTCAAGACGTTTGCCTACTAGTAAGCTCTTTGCGTGGTGAAAAGAAAAATCCAACTCCCATACTTTACCTTTATGTGATATTACATTGCGCAACCTACAAAACTGCCACCAGGTGGCGCTCACGCAGTAACTTTGGAGCAGCAGCAAGCAGTGAATGTTAAAGACGCTGAATTGGAAATATTACTGTCGAACAGATGTTCTTGTCTTTGATGCTGTATCTAAGTTAAGGTAGGAATGATGAGGTCAAAAAGGCTAATAAATTTATTATGTGGTGGAAAAGTTATTTCTCCTTGCCTATGAGACAGAAAAGCCATTATTTTTAAAGCATAATGCTAGCTGAGCTTTGTTCACTGTGACACAAAATTCTCCTAATCCTCCTCCTACTTTTATTATTCTTTGTGTGATATGTGTCTTTGGTTGTGAGTAAAGAAGAAGAGATTATAGTAGTTGCTGTAAGCTGACTGCTTAAGAGTTCAGTAAATTTAAATAAATCTGTTGCAGAGAAAAACATGCCTTGCACTGATCATCCAACGGTGAATAAAAAATGTAGACAGAGCATTTATGCAAAGAGGCAAATGATGTGCGAGAATGGCACTGCCCGTAAACAAAGCAGACAGTTTGACAAAAGTGTTTTTCCCCCACTTTGATCAAATAGACTACAGCATCTTTGCATCCCACTTGTCAAAGTGCGGAATCTGTTTTCCATCTCTCTTTATTCCTACCTTCACCCAATCCCCACCATGCTTTCATTCAGGTCTCCTCCCTGAAATGAAATAGGCTGTTAGTAGACTGCAGTTGATAGCATCCAACTGCAGATAATGAGCGATGCAACAGAAATGTCTTGGGTTCTTCTTCTTTCTCCCACCTTCTTCCCCAGCGACAAGGTCTGCAGACTTTCATGGGTAAATTCTGTTACAGGGAGAGTGAGGAGGCCAGATAATTGCCCAAGCTGCCTCTTCCATAGATTGATATTAGGGACCTTGTCCTCACCATTGCACACCTGGAGACCTGCTGACTTATCCAGTATCAGATGAAGGATTTATGCACACAACTGTGAGTGTGGGGAATTCTCAGGAAGTGAATTGTTTACACCAGAAGATTCACACTCAGGATGTCAGTAAATATTACCCCAATTACTTTTGCACCAACCTAATACTAATCAACCCCAGAGATGAGGTTTAGCATCCCCATTTTACGATGACAAGAACGAATGGACAGAGAGTTCAAGGGATTTACACAAGATGTGCAGCTACAAGGAGACGGAGGCCAAATGTGCATGCGAATTAAAATCTCAAATGACTAGTGTGGAAATTGAAAGAGGATTGAATAAAATTGAGCTCTTCTTTTCCAACAATCACCCTTCTGGTAAAAAGGTACCAGAGTTTGTGACCCATATGTATCTTATTTCAGAAAAGATTTATTGGGAAGGAGGATATTTTTGTCCAGCTTTTGGATTAGGCCAGTGATCTAAATGGGCTGACGAGAAGTAGTGACAATAATCACATCTACTGGACAGAGCATCTGTAAGGGCATGAAACCTGGGCAGTTGCTGCGCTTACTGGGGCCCTGTGCTTGGCTTAATGCTGTGCTGTCACTGTCTTGAAATTCTTAATAATTTTTTTATTATACTTCAAGTTTTAGGGTACATGTACACAATGTGCAGGTTACATATGTATACATGTGCCATGTTGGTGTGCTGCACCCATTAACTCATCATTTAGCATTAGGTATATCTCCTAATGCTAGCCCTCCCCCCGCCACCCCACAACAGGCCCCGATGTGTGATGTCCCCCTTCCTGTGTCCATGTGTTCTCATTGTTCAATCCCCACCTATGAGTGAGAACATAATAATTTTTGAACAAGAGACCCTACATTTTCTTATTGTACTGGGTGCTGCAAATTATGTAGCTGGTTCTGCCGATGGTATTTTTCTCTTTTGACCATTGCTGGATAAACATAAATACTTTCTCTTCCTCCTTGGCTCCCTCTGGAACCTTTCAGACAGCCCCCAGAAAATTCCGTTAGCAAGTTATTTCCTCAGACAGATAGGCTGGAATGCAACAATTAGGTTGTAGCTTACATTGCTGTTCTTGAAATAGCTGCTTCCTTTTTGCATTTGACAAATCCACGGTGAGCACCCACTCTGTGCCAGGCACTTGCCAAGTCGAAGGTGGTTTCCCAGTTGTTCCTAGCACTGCTTTCTTCAGCCTTCTCTAACGGAAGGGAAGCTCTCGTAGCTTACTACTCTAAGCCATGCTATGCTCCTACTAGATTTCCCTCTCAGAGAATGACCTTTCCTGATCTTGTCCCTCAGCGCTGAAGACATCCTATTAATTCCCCTTTGCACTGCCTACAATTACTACCAATGGCAGCTACTGCGCAGCCAACTGAGAAATGAACCCCCATGGAAATTGCCATCCTTGCCCAAGGCTAACAGAGGTCTCTGGCAGGTCCTGGTGGACTTGTGAAATATTAAATATGTTCCATATTCTTTGTACATTAAAAAGTCAAATCTGAGAAATCTCCTTATGCATTAAGTATCTGTGTCTACATGATATTACACTCAGCACTCAGCACTGTAAGAAGAGATTTAGTTATAGTCTTATTTCCGTAGAATCTGTCAAAAGTAGACCATGAGCCTAAACAAATCTGAATATAAAGACAATCTATATAAGGGCAAAAAATGCAGACAATTGAGCAATGCAAAACATTGGTTAATGTAACTTGCTGTCCATTTCAAGAACAAGTGCATTAGCAGAGCAGTGAGGAGTGAGAGAGCCTTAAGTGGCTAATGCTCACACCCGATGGTGCAGAGGGAAGCTATTAGACCTTTTCCAAATAGTTCTGGAAGACTGTGTACAGGAGCTGGGATTTCATGAGCTATTTGGATGCTAGAAGAGAGATAGCTTGGCAGACAGAAAGAGAGAGCATTCCAAGAATATGGCACAGTTTGGAAAAGGCTTGTGTGGAATGACTAGGTGATGGAGATATTAAGCCAATTGGCTTGAACTGAGTGGGGGCTCCTTCCAAGGAAGGATTTCAAATTTGATTCAAAACAAAATAATGGCTTTCTGTAACATTATTATGACAACTAACAATATATTTTTGAATCCAGTGTGTGCTACACAAATCCAGACTCAGGTCCTGGAGTTCCTAGGATAAGAAGTCTCCTGAGTAATGATGGGAGAATAAGACACGGGAAATAACAGCATCAGCTACCCTCAGGCATAAGCATGGCTACCCCCACTCCACCTACTCCAATCCATGGAGCCCAAGAAGCAAACCGGCAGGACAGCTACTATAGAAGGAGAAAGGGTTGTCCTCAACCCATTGCTGGGAGGAAAGAGAAATGGGGCCTCAGTCTTGGCATCCCTGCTCCTGTCTTTGGTGTTGTGTTCATGAGCACTGAAGTTCTGAACACAGGGCTCAGGGGCCCTGGGCCTTGAGAGGAAGGCCACGGTCTATACCTGCCTTGTGTTTCACTTCAAAACCTAAGTAAGAAGGTATTTATCGACTGCCATGCTTTTGAAAATTCTAAGAATATTTGTCGCTTTAAAGAAGCTTATCAGCTAAATGAAGAGAGAACTCATATCCATTTGAGAAGTTACAGAAGGACAATAAAATTAAGAACTGTCACAAAGAGACACTCTTGCCTGTCAAATGATGGGATCTGACAAGTGTGGAGGAAGGCAGTATTACTTTAGGTTGGAAAGACCATTAGGCGGAGCTAGAATATGAGTGTGTCTTCAAGAATGAGTCAAATTTAAACAACCAGGTAGGGCAGAGCATTGTGGGAAGGCACAAAACCTCAGAGGAAAAACATGGTGGCCAGAAAGGCAGGTCAAGATGGAAGGGCACTACCATGCTGTCCAAAGCAGAAGGGCCTAGAGGACGTCAGAGGGAGAGGAGGCAGGAGAGGAGGTGAGGGCTTCATCCACGACAGGAAATTGAGCTCATTTCCTCTGTTGTTGCAAGGAATGAACTCATCAGAGATCAGCACTTTTTGCCCAAGTTCTGCGAAAGAAAAGTTTATATTTTGAAAACCTTTAATAAGTTATTTTTTCCCTTTCCTAATACAGTGTTGAATTGCCAGTGCATAGCGGAGGTAAATCATCCACCCAATGAGATGATTTTGCTAGCACCATCTGAAGAGCTACCAGATAATTTGTCTTTGTGAAGGGCCGTAAGCATATTCTTGAGCTCTGCTACTGCTCCCAGAGCAAGCACCTTGCGGAAGGGCTCTGGAGTGCAGCATTTGGCACGTCCCGCTGCTCCGGCCATCTGCTGCACCTTACAACGTGGTCTGGCAATTCAGAAGATGGCACGGGCGGCCCGCAATATATCCATATGTTATTCTCCTCCTCCTCGCTTGAGAAACAGAACAGCCATCTTCAAGACACCACCAGGAATTCCAAGTCACGTGACTTCCTTTGTTTCCTCCAGACCAAAGATATCAACATTTATTTTAAAAGGGCAAAAACACACAGCCAGTCAGTCTGAACAAAAACCCTGTGAAGGTGTTATTACCTTACTAGTTAGCCTCAGAGTATGGGAGAGGGAATTCCCGCTCTCCTCACCCCCCACAAAAAAATGCCAACTAATGTTGAGTGCCCTTACCTGACTTGGGAGGAGTGGTTCCCGGGTATAGTAAGGGTTTCTGTGAAGTTATGATCAGCATCACTACTTTTTGTAGTTGTGTACGAGATTTTGTAACCTAAAGCCTTGCGACTCAACGTTGGTCCATGGACTAGAAGATTCTGCGTCGCCTAGGAGCGGGTTAAAAATTCAGAATCTAAGACCCACCCAGATCCTCTGAATCAGAAGCCGTATTTTCACAATGCCCCCAGGTGATTCGGGGGCACATTAAAGCTTGGAATGTACTGATCTGGAAGAGGATACTCAGAAAAACTTCCGCCCATGTAGTTTTGAAGATTCTGGGAAAAATAAACTTGATATAATAAATGAAGTAGGACTACTATGCCATCTAGGAATTTGTACAGAATGCTTACAGAGATTTTTTAACTCATAAACTTTATTCCCCAAATAAAGTTTTTCTTGTTTTTGTTTTTGTTTTGTTGTTGTTGTTAATAATAAGTGAGTCCATAGCATTTATCCGAGGAATCCATACCCACAGAAGTAAAAGGACATCCCAGGGTTATGTTATCAGCCCCCCTCCCTCCTTAGGAAGCATTCACTGGAGAACTTCTCTGGAGCCTTGTTTCAATCTGAGATCTGCACTGAACTGACCACTTCTTGATTCAGGACACTGAAATCTCTGCATATGGGTTTATTTAGAGGAGAGGCTGCGAACGCTAAAGATTTGCTTGTTAACCTTATCAGCAGCTGCTGTGTGCTGTGGTCCAGTGCTCTAATCTGGGTGTCAGGCCTGGGCACGGCATCCTCCACGCTGGTGGCTGCCTTTTCTTCTCCTGCTGGCCGAGTCTGCTGTGGACTCTATTAATGAGGGGTTTGAAACCCCCTTTGGCAGGGAAGAGTGTCTTCCTGCTTGCAGTTTGAATTGAAAATGAATTCCCTATTTGCACAGTACCATGACACTTCGTATAATATCATTTACTGTCCCCCAGGCAGGAGTAGTTCTGGACAATACTTCTTAAACACTTTATGCCCAATATCATGTGGGTTACAGTCGCTCATATGGAAAAGAAAAGGACAGTTTAAAGCTTGAACAAGAAGAACAAAAATGCCTCCTAGGCCTCCAAAATGTCCACCTAAGATTCCAGCTTTTAAGGCAGAAAAATGACTAACAGGGACCATATTTTGAAATCATTAAAAGTGGATGTGTTTAGCCGAGAAAATGAAAGAAGACATAGGAAAAATTAATTCCATCTCTTACAGAGTGATTAAAAACAGAGATAACAAATTGTCAGTTAATGAAGCATACAGACTGGAGAGGTGATGTAGATAATAAAAAGTGGATTATTCAGCGTACTATTTTTAATTGAAATATATATAGGAAGAATGTTAGCATAAGTCATTTTGTACTAGTATTGTTGCTAAAATGAAAAACTAAGTGATTCGCTTTCTTCGAGTTGATCACACATGATGGTCCTGAAAGAGCGGAGAAGTACAACCCAAGGATTAAATCCCTCTGGATTCAAAATTTGCACTTGATGATCTACAGGTAGAAGCATGAACACTGACTTTTTTTTTTTAACCATCTAATCATATATATATATATATATATATATATATTTTTTTTTTTTTTTTTTTTTAAAGACAGGATCTTTCTCTGTCACCTAGGCTGTAGTGCAGTGGTGTGATCTCAGCTGACTGCAGCCTCCGCCTCCTGGGGTCAGGGGATCTTCTCACCTCAGCCTCCCAAGTAGCTGGGACTACAGGTGCCCGCCACCATGCCCGGCTAATTTTTGTACTTTTTTGTAGAGATGGGGTTTCACCTCGTTGCCCAGGCTGGTCTTGAACTCCTGAGCTCAAGCGATCCACCTGCCTTGGCCTCCCAAATTGCTGGGATTACAGGCATTAGCTGCCACACCCAGCCCATTCATAATCTTTTTAAGCATTCTGGTTTCATAGCCTCCATAAAACAGGAAAATTAAGGGTACATTTTTCGCTTATTTATTCAAATGACAAGTATTTATTGGGCACACAGCCACCTCAGGCACTGTTTTGGGGCTATGAAGTTGTAATCACTGAACAAAAACACATTCCCTACCCTCGTGGAGCTTACCTTTTAGTAAAATATACATGCAAATAAATAACCAGAAAGATAATTGCCTTACAATTCTGACAGAGATAATTGGCAAAAGAAAAATTAGCTGCACACAAAAATACATTAACATCTGGAGAATAATGAAATTATGAGCAACAAGCATCAATGAAATCATGCCAAATTCAAATGATGGCAGCTCTTGGTAGGCTTCCAGAATTAACTATTAAAAGAACATATTAGCCTTAAACCCAGTGTGTCTTCTGTGACGACTGTGGGGGGGTTATGTCAGGCTGCATTCATGGAGGATGGACAGATGCCAGGATATTTCACAGGAACCTAATTGTTCTTCCCTGCCAGGAAATCACTGTAGCGTGACATGATCCCAAGGATCAAAGTGCCTGAAGACCAGAACTCCTGGAGCAAGCTTGCATTGCTTTCAGGTGATGCTATAGATCACCCAGAATGCCCTGCAGTGGCCAGTGCCCCTGAACGAGGACTGGACCCCTACATTTACATGGGTTGATTCTGTGCCCTCGAGCAAGTTACTAATGTCTTTGAACCTCAGTTTTCTCATTTGAAAAATGAAAATCATAATACATCAACATAAGATCAGTGAAAAGAATAAATGATATCCCATATATATACACACACACGTATAGTCAATATGTACAATGCTTGCTGCACAGTTAAGTGTGCAACAAATGTTAGTAACCTGCTCCAATCTTATAACTGCTCAACAATAAGATTTATAAAGGCCACACATATTTGACAAGACAGCCCAAACTTTCACACTTTACCTCTCAAGCACTTTTGCCCATTAGACCTTACCCCTCTAAGCTGCATTTCTTGTGCATATTTGGGATTCGGTTCCTGAAATGATTAACAATCATTCAAAATATCACTTGCTTGCTCTTGCCAGACACTAGTTCCGTTTCATCAACACACCCATACTTAGCTATACAGCAGTTCCTGTTTGTAAAATTACTTGAAGATTGAGTTAGATTTTTGTCCTTATATAAGAAGTAGGAGTGGAAAGCTGAAATATGAAAGAGTAGAGACTAGCAATAGGAATGTCTGTTTTTATAAGCACAACACAATCAACAGAAATGTTTAGGTGTGTTTCTAGCAGGAAACTCTGAGTCAGCCTCTCATTGGACTAATGAGGGCTCAATGTGAATTACAGGTTGGGAAAAACTACATTGGAGAGAATATACAAGATACTAGATCAATATTGGAATTAGATCTAAAAGTGAGATCAAATTAGGAAATAAATGTGTGTGTGTAGTGTGTGTGTGTGTTTCAATATTGGAATTAGATTTAAAGGCGAGATTAGATTGGGAAATAAATCTACGTGTGTGTGTGTGCCTCTGTGTGTGTGTGTGTGTGTGTGTGTGTGTTTCAATATTGGAATTAGATTTAAAGGAGAGATCGAATTGAGAAGTAAATCGTGTGCATGTACCTGTGTGTGTGCGTGTGAGTGTGGTTAACTTTACTGAAAAAGAACTCCCTTTCTAGTCTGTGAATCTGTTGATCTATTGTTTGTCTTTCATGTATGTATTCTAGAAAGCATTACATGTAGAAGTACGGACTTGCCTCTATCTAGTTGCCTTTTTTATTTGTTTATTTCCAGCCTCCTGCAAAAAGGAGGTGATCAAGTAGCAAGTTTCTCTAATCTCAGTATTCTTCTCCTCTGAGCAATCTGACCAGGAGACTACAAATATTTGTTGGTCACCTACTATGTTCCAGGCATCATGTCCCCAAGGGTATGTCCCCTGCTAGAGTTAGCAGAAAGATCTGGCATGGATTCAAACAGATTGAAAAATGAGTAAGACAGGAGACCACTGGATCTGCAAATCTGATGAGAAAGCTTCCTTTTTAAGCACTTCGGCCTAATTCTCTCTCAAAATATGTATGGGCTTAGGCTTTCATAGCAGCATACTTAAAGGAACTAAGGCTCTGCTTCTCAAGGTAAAGCCATGCAACTCTGTGTACACTGGCAGGGACTGCGAACCTTGGAAGGGAAGCGTGGCCCAGTGCCGCTGGAGGCTCAGGCTGTTTCTAGTTGCCAGGGATAAACCCCTTTCCAGCTCCGGAAAGCTGACACTGTGGCAGGCTTCTCCTCTACAGCCGGGACCTAAATTAGATCCTTCTATACTCCAGCTACTTGATCCTCAAATCTTTAAGATTTGGCCACCTTTAGACGTTTCTCCTTAGGCCCTTTTCTATAAGTCCTTTGAATATTTGCATATACTGATTTCTTTTTTTTTTTTTAAGTGCAAAGAGAGAAAAACTTTATTTTTTAATTTTTTTTCTACTTTTATTTAAGTTCAATGGATACACATGCAGGTTTGTTACATGGTGTATTAGTCTGTTCTCACGTTGCTGTAAAGAACTACCTGAGACTGGGTAATTTATAAAGGAAAGAGGTTTGACTCACAGTTTTGCATGGCTGGGGAAGAAGCCTCAGGAAATTTACAATCACGTGGAAGGTGAAGAAGGAGCAAGCACCTTCTTCACAAGGTTGCAGGAGAGAGGGAGAGCATGAAAGGGGAAGATCCCCTTGTGAAACCATCACATCTCATGAGAACTCACTATCATGAGAACAGCATGGGGGAAACTGCCACTATGATCCAATCACCTCCCACCAGGTTCCACCCTTGGCACTTGAGGATTACAATTTCAGATGAGATTTGGATGGAGACAAAGACAAACCATATCACATGGGCGCATTGCATGCCGCTGAGGCTTGGTGTACAAAATGACCTCGTCACTAAGGTAGTGAGCATAGTGCCCAATGGGTAGCCTTCCAACCCTCTCCTTCCTCCCCTCTCAAGCAGTCCCCAGGATCTATTGTTCCCATTTTTGTGTGTAGGAGTACCCAGTGCTTAGCTCCCACTTGTAAGTGAGAACCTGTGCTGTTTGGTTTTCTGTTCCTGCATTAGTTTGTTCAGGCTAATGGTTTCCAGCTGTATCCATGTTGCTGCAAAGGACATGATTTCCTTCTTTTTCATGGCTATGCAATATTCGATGGTGTTTATATACCATTTATTAATGACACTTCAAACTTGGTAGGCTAAGACTAAAATTTTGTTGTTAGAGCTGAAATCATAGATTACTGCAGCTAAATGGGTCTCAGATTCTAATTCTTCATTTTTGTGTGTGTGATTAAACTGAAGTCAAGAGCGACTGTCAGAGAGAAGAGAGAATGAATAAATGGCACAAACCTCCTTAGCAGCACGGGCCGGGCTACAGTGTTCTCACCCCAAATTCATTGTTGATTGGGCCCTCTTTGCTGCATCAGTTAATGACATCACCAAAACTCCACTCACCTTTAGTTGCAAATGCCTTCCCATTTCCTACTGTATATCCAAGAAGTTAATAAATCCTATCAAACCTCCAAAATACTTTGTTCAATCTTTGCTTTTTATGATTTATTTCAACTGCTAAGGCTTTAGTGCCTCCTTTCTTCATCTCTCCCCTGAGGTGTTATGACAGCAACTCAGCTGGCTTCGCTGCACTCATCTTCTCTTCTGAAACTCCAGCCAATAAACTGGAACTAGAGATACCTTCCTGAGATCAGATGGTTTCACTATCCTGTTCTAAACTGTCCGTGCCATACCTCCACATGCAGGAAAAACACCTAGACTCCATAGTGTGGCCTCTTCTCTCACCCAGGGTTTCCACTCCTCCAAGGACACCTCTCCTTTTGTCATCTAACACCATTGCTCTAGGTGCTGTTCTTCATGCTAGCATATCTTGACCTTTCCACCAGTAACTTTTTTTCTCAAAAAATTCAATTTAACAGAAACACTGCTCCTTCCAGGAAATCTACCTGTCAAAGTTCTGTTCAAAGTTTAGGACCAGTTTCGTCTCATCTCCTCTAAGAAGCCTTCCTTAGCCTATCCTAGTAGGATGGCTAGTAGTATCAGAAGACATTTATCCCATATCTGTCTCCAACTCCTATGCTTCCTTTTTCTATAGAACAAGGGAAACATTAGGTTTTGACCCCACCACTCCCCAGGCCCTCCTAGGCCAAGTCTCTAATACCCATTTCTTTGCAAAATGGATTGTGCAACCCACAGTTCTCATCTTACTCTTTATGAGCAACATTCGACACAGGTGGTCAATTTCTCCTTCTCTTGATATTTTCTGCACTTGGTATTTTGAGCGCCACTCATTCATGATTTTCCTCCTCCTACCTCATAGCCTCTTCTTCCCAGTCTGCTACGCTGTTTCTTCCTCATCTCCCTGATGTCTACACTGTAGATTGTCCCAGAGCTCAATCCATGGATTCCTTCTCTGTATTGCATGACTTTCCAGGTGAGAGTATCCAGTTTCATGGCTAAATTACATTTGAAGTTGATGAGTCCCAACGTTACAGCTGTAGTCTGAAACTCTTCCCTGAACTCCAGATTCCTGTATCCAATGGCCTACCTGACATATCCAATTGGAAGATGCCAGTGGGTATCTCTTTAGTTGTTCTCAGTCACATCCCAAATCCTTGTCACCAGCCAGTTCTGTTGGCCCTCCCTTCAAAATGGATCTAACACCCTACCACTGCTAAACATTGCCATCACGACCTCTCTGGCCCAAGCTACCATCAACTTTTGCCTGAATTGCAATAACATTTCAATTAGACTTTTTGCTTCTTTGTTTGCATTTCTACAGTCTATTTCACCAAAGCCAGAGTGATCCCTGTAAAATGTAGGTGCTGTGGTTTGCATATCTCCCCGGAAGCCCATGCGTTGCGTGACTCTCTTACTCTTTCCTCAGTCATCTTCTTGGAGAGTCCCTACCACTGAAGCCTATTCTGAGCACCCATAAAAAAAAGCAACCCCACTCCTTAAGCTCCCTAACTCCCTGCCTGGTTTATTTTTCTCCACAGAGTTGTCAAGTTACCACCATTTGACATTTTTAATCTCTCTCTATCATCTATCTCTGTCTCTTATCTATCTATCATCTATCCCTCTCATCTTTTTCATCTGCTTATCTATTATCTATCATCTATCTCTCTCTTATTTCTCTTTCATTATTTTCTACTTATATACCTATTATCTATAAATCATCCATCTCTCACATATCTCTATGTATGTATGTATGTATGATCTGTCTGTCTATCTATCTATCTATCTATCTATCTATCTATTAGCTGTCTGTCTGTCTCTCCCTGTGAAAATGTGGAATCCATGAATACAGTGTTCTTGTCCATTGCTATATGCCTGATATTTAGAACAGTGTCTGGTAAACAATAGGTGCTCAATAAATATTTATTGAAATAATGATTAAATGGATAATTGAAATCAAAATCTGGTTACCAGCCTTGCCACAGACACCCTCCTGTGACAGGTTCCCTCCACCTCCGCCAAGTCTTGCAGTGGGGAGTTCAGTTGTGAAGCACAAAAGACAAAGGGCCCTCCGAGGAAAATCCGTGGGGCTCTAATGCCACACAGTGGGGTCCGGCCTGTTTCTTGTAGTAATAAACACTAGAAAGCCCTTGAGAACACGAGGCTATCAGATGGTGTGGTATAAAAGAAAGAACAATGCACCAGCAAGCAGAAGATACATATTTGGATTCTGAGTCTTATTACCTGTGGAGTCCTGAGCAAGTTGCTAATCCTATTTGGCCTCCATTTCTTATCTGTACAGTAACAGTGATGGATTCGCTTGTCTGAGATCCTTTCCACACCTTCGATTTCTGTTAAATTCTGTGGGTGTCTGAGGAAAGATGGAGACAGGGAGGGAGGAAAAAGGGAGGAAGACGGTTTTTGATTATTCCTATACCTGCTAAGAGATAGAAAGAAGGAGATAACTTGTAGTATAAAGAATATTGCATAGAAGAGATTATTTTGGCATGACTGCACTACATAGAAAGAACTTAGTTTTATAATTAGGCATCTAAGCATTCTAAAAGAACACTCAATTTACACTAAGTTCCACATTTTCTGTGTTTTGGACCCCAATGCTTACACCTTTTGTCCAGACCTGGAGGTCTGTTTTCATCTCTCTCATCATGATGAGAGAGTTGTTTCATCAACTCTCATCATAGTTGAGAGTTTTGGGTTTTTACAGACCATATTGAATGTAATTATTCATTTGTAGGTAATTACTAAAATAAAAACTATTCTGAGTTTTCTTAAAATGACACAATACCTTTCTCCTCTAAACATTTTAATATATTATTTGAGCAAGATTTATTCATTTTTATATTACCACATATGGAGATTTTAATTTAGTGATTAGTAAAATTATTTAAGAAATATAAACCCATGCTCAGTAATATTTTCCAATACGTTGAAAGGTTTTAACATACTGGAGATGGTGGTTTTCTTTTTCATTATGTCTTTGAAATTTAATATAAAAATATGATATTCCATGCCAAGTGTGTGTGGCATTTTAGTTTATTTTAAATGAGTTCTCATGAAAGGTTGCACTCTTTATGACCATAGAAAGTTCATCATTATACTTAACTAGCCATTCTGTGCACAGTGTTTTATCAGGCAAAAACAAAAAAGACACTTGATGTTTCAGATGTTTTACTAAGGCTGAATATGAATTTCTAACTGTACCGAAATGGAACATAACATTGCGGTTTTTTTTTTTTTTTTTTTTTTGAGACGGAGTCTGGCTCTGTCGCCCAGGCTGGAGTGCAGTGGCGCGATCTCGGCTCACTGCAAGCTCCGCCTCCTGGGTTCACGCCATTCTCCTGCCTCAGCCTCCCGAGTGGCTGGGACTACAGGCGCCCGCCACTACGCCCGGCTAATTTTTTGTATTTTTAGTAGAGATGGGGTTTCACCATGTTAGCCAGGATGGTCTCGATCTCCTGACCTCATAATCTGCCCGCCTCGGCCTCCCAAAGTGTTGGGATTACAGGCGTGAGCCACTGCGCCCGGCCGACATTGTGTTTCTTAAAAGCACAACCCCTTACGGTGTCAAGCTAACAACCCAAAACTATGGTCCAATTAATTGAGGACACTGTGGAGGAGGTCAAAGATCCCATAAAAAGTTAGTAAAGACATTAGATTTTAGACAATCAAAAGAATCTGGAGAAATGATCTGTGGTCATAACGATTACCTCCAGGGCTGAAGAGAGCACTCAAGAAGATATTTACTGGGCACAGTGATTCACACCTGAAATCCCAACACTATGGGAGGCCGAGGCGGGTGGACCACCTGAGGTCAGGAGTTCGAGATCAGCCTGGCCAACATGGCGAAACCCTGTCTCTACTAAAAATACAAAAATTAGCTGGGCCTGGGGGCATGTGCCTATAGTCCCAGCTACGCAGAAGGCTGAGACATGAGAATCCCTTGAACCCGGGAGGCGGAGATTGCAATGAGCCGAGATCCCGCCACTGCACTCCAGCCTGGGTGATACAGTGAGACTCTTTCAAAAAAAAAAAAAGGAAGGAAGGAAGGAATAAGCTAAAGTTTAAATTGTCATGTGTAAAGCATCTAAGCATCTCACCCAGTCTAGTTACAAAGAAGAATTTAGACTTGTAAAATCTACCACAACATTTCATTCTTTATCTGTAGGAAATTTTTATTTTTCAGAAGCCAGGTAAATGGGAGTTGCAGATGGTGTGTTTCTGTTGATTATTTTTTGAAATTGGAAAACAGAGATTGTAGTTCTTTTTTTCAGTTGCTTTAAAGCGAACCCACATGTAACTACAGCCATTCCATTTAAGTGAAAGCTGAACCATTCGACACACCATAGTAAAGACAGTGTATAAAGTACATTCAGCAAAAAGGATGTGGATGGAATATGAGACACATGGCTGAAACTACTATTAATACCTTGAGGTTTAAAATTGCTGAAGGGGTAGGCTCCATTTCTGCGGTTCACTAAAGGACAGAGACCTGTATTTGAACTGAGGGCTCATTTCTCTTGACCTAAATGTGTCACGGTAACAAACAACTCTCAGAGAAGTGGTAAATCATAGTCATTAAACAAACAAATCATTGTGGACTGTCAGTTCCTACTTTGAAGAACTTAAGCCATCTTCAGTATTATACAGCCAAAAAGCATCCCGTCCCTTTGAAAAGCTGCACAGGCTCTTCACTTCCAAGTCATCTATTTCTTGGAGGCTTTACTTTTGCATGTGATTTCTAAATTTTTTATAAAATGTATCTGTTTCTTCTGTGCTGCTCTGCTTCTCTTTTCTACCACCTAATTCTTAGATTATAATCAGTTTCAAAAGCACACTAAAAACACCATCACAGATGTTCACTCCATCTTCAGGAATTTGGTGTTGCCACCCATTTTCCCAGGGGCAATATCATGCGAAACGCCTTCTGCTGCAGTTTGTTTCTTTATTTCTGTTCCGAGTGACCTGCGGCAAGAATTGCGCTGCCCTCGCTATAGAAAGTGGCAATCCCCCACTGCTTATGATTATTGAGGTTCTTTGAGGCAGGGCTCACAATCTCAGATAAACTGTGCCCCTCAATTATAAGGGCTAGCTGAATATGATCCTTGCCTTACAAGTACCTTATTTTCCAATACGCACTGTCTACATTCAATTATCAGACATTATTGGAAACACAAAGGTCACTGCTTACATCTCAAAAGCTCTTAAAGCAAACATGTTATTGCCTCCTGTACATTTGGGCTTTAAAACCTCAGAATTCACTTCAGGACACTATTACCCTCATCTCTGTTCTTTTTGAACATCATAGCATGATGGAAAATTTCCTAGTCCAAATACCGAATCAGCCAACAAAGCAATTCAAAAGGAAAAACGCCGAGCTTTAAAAATTGCAATACAAAATGACTGCTTTCGTTCTCTGTCGCCTTTGTCCCCACCCTTCACTCCAATGTGAAAGCCAAAGCATCCCTTTGCTAGCATGACAATTTGAGCTAAGAATAAAAGCCAGTCATTATTTTATCATTTAATATTAATTATAATAGTATTAGTCATGATGAACTCCTGTTGCATTATGTGGCTTTCAAATGTATTCCCAAAGGACTTTGATTATAATTTGCCATTTTATTCATGTTCAATTATTTTAAAGTGTTGCTGAATTAACGAGATCCACTTAGCCTTAATCACTACTTACCTCATCAGTTTATAGCACTGAAATGTCTGGCTTATAAAGACGATCTGTGACAGAATGAGACGGAGCCATCATGGCCACGGCTGACATCCAGGCTCAGTTCTGAGGGGTGATGGTTCTATGGGACAGGCACTATTTCAGCACTGGTGGCTAGATGCAAGCCCGCAGACAGGAGGACGGCGTGGGAGGTGGTGGCTACTGAGAACTCTCGGTGCTTCATTAAATACCTTGCCAACCCCTGGAATTATAAATAGAGTGTTCTGTATGTTTTCCTTCTGATGCACACTAATAGTCCTGGCTTTACATCCCTTATGTCTTGAAAATATAGCTGCATTGAGATTGTGTTGTTGGTGGTGATGTTTTAAATGGAATACAGCTCTGCCTGACTGCTCATCGGCTCTGGTTCATTCTTCATGACATTATTACGTGTTATTTCCATGAGTTCCTTTGTCTGTTATGCCCAAATTTTATTTTCTTTCACATTCTCCTTGGGCTGTCTTCTAGATTCTACCAATATACTTCATTTTTCCACTTGAGATTTATAAGATCTCTTATAATTCACACTAAGTTTTCTCATCTTCTCATTTTGTTGTGTCTTAAGTAATTATAGCAATCATCTACCAGGTAATTAAAAATTACCAAGAACCCTGGAGTGGCTATTTACCTTGCCATGGCATGGGTTAATACTATGTAAGTATTATGCCCCTACTCATGTGTCCAGCACCAATGTCAGACACTACAGTAGATCCAGAAAACTAATATAAACAGCTTCTGACAATTCAACTGGACAGGGCTGATTAAGGTCACTGGAAGAGTAGTTATATTCAAAATATAATAGATGCTAGCCATCAGAAACCCCTAGATTTTATCAAACACCACCTCAGCAAATTAAATGACTTTAATCAGAGTCCTAGTAACCAGTTTGGGGTAGCATTGATAAAGATTTCTACAGTTTCAGGTGGGAATTCTATATGTGAGCCTTTTAACTCGTTGACATTATAACTGAGAATTTCCCAACCATTCCATCTTCTGCTTTCTGACTCAAGGATTTAATTCAAAGGAAAAATGAATTAAGATGGCCTGCAGCAACGTTCTCCCTTTTATCTAGCCTATCCATATTGTGCTATTTAAATTTACTATTCTCATACCAAGAACTTGCTTAGCGACTGGGACTGTGGCCTTTAATATTGCTCTGAAAACTGATAATGAACAACTTGAACAGGGGTTTTTAGATTTTTTTGTAATTAAAAGTATGATGCGTTCAATCATGACATGAAAATACATGTGCAAGCCCCACTCAAAGCAATGGCATTTTTAAAAAAACTGTCAGAATAAGAGTTTTATATGTTATCATTATACATTATATTGCTATGCTGTATGCATATGTACACAGCATATATATACACACATGCTAACTTTCTTCATTGTTGGTGATAATAGGAATAAAAATCAGAGTTGATGCTGAATCGTGGTTTGAATTACAAAGTTATTAATGCCTAATAGATGATATTAAGTGTTACTACAAGCTGAGTGCAATTCCAACGGTGTTGTTGGTATTAACTTCTTTAATTCTCACAATGACTAAATTATGCAGAATTCTATCCTCATTTTACATCTGAACAACTGAAGCAGTGAGTAATTTAAGTGACTTCATGCCACTCAACTAGAAATTGATGGGGCCAAGATTTACCTCCAACTTTAGGGTGGCCCATGCTCTGAACTTTGACACTCCACTGCCTGGTTCTACCTCACAAATTATAAACTGAATTGGCCTTTATGTAGCCACAGCCATGTCCTGTGTTTTGTTTTCTTTTCTCCTTCAATAAGGAGTTTCTTACAAAATATTTTGTGCAAGTTATTTTTTGAGAAACACTAAAAGAAAAAGATATCCCTATGATCTTTTTTTCATAGTTCTAAAGCTGATGGAGGTGTGCCTTTGAAATATTCTGTTCATGAATTTGTAATATATTAAATCTGTGGGTTAAACTTCCTGCCAAGGCTCATGACAAAATTTGCGTCCATCCAGAAGGAATTTGGAAATACTCCATAAATAAAAAGAAATCACGAAATTTCCAGGCTCCGGTGGCACACCCCATGTTGCTTCCACTTTAGTGAATTCTTCCTTGTAAGAATTATTGAATGGCAGTTCGATACCGATCTTATCTGCTCCCTGGCTTCCCCTTCCATCATCTCGCTCCAGGATGTGGCTGCTGAGATGATTTTCCGTTCTCGCTTTCCTAATGCTGCCTTTCCGCCTCCTTGAATCTCTTCATTGCTTGTCCTTTTTGATATGACCTTCTTGTACCTTGAAATATCTCCTCTGGTTCAAAAACCTCTGTTAATTCTATTTTCCCTTCCTCTGTCCAGGCTGCCAGTCGGATTCTCCCTTTCCTCATCTTCATTGAGAGGGCGTCTCTCTCACCGGCCCTGCTGCTTGAACAGCATGCCTCTTAGCAAATATGAAGCTCTTCATTTCATTAAAAAACAAAAACTAGAGATGCGTTTTCAGGAGAGTTCTTGAGTTGCTGTGATGAAGTCGCATAAATAGGATCCTCGTTAATTTTAACTCTAAATGCGGCAGCCCTCTCAATAGTGTTCAAATTGATCCAACATCTTCTACCCCACTTATCGCAACTTGACCTTGGAAAAACTGCACTGAACAGAAATATTTTAAACAAGCCTTTGACTGGTGTTATAATTACAGTCTTACAAAGAGCAAATGCCAATGGTAATCAGATTACGCATGTTTGTACCACAGGAGGGAGAATAACACGTTAAGGAGAGTCACCATTAGTCACTGAAAGGCTCCAGGAAGTAGCTTCAACACCAAGTATTGTGCACAAGTGAGTGCTCTATGTTGTGGATGAGAGTCAGCACAGTTGGAGTACGTAGTCTTTTAAATTGGGCCATACACTACCAAATTAATGCATAAACATTATTCACAAAAGTGGATTGTTTTCAAAACATCAAATCCCTAAGGTTTCACAGGGTACAACTGAAAAATTATTACTTACACTGATCACAATTGTTCTTTTGATTTAATGTACTTAGTTTGTTTTCGATTATTGGAAATTTAACTGATATTCTTTGATGATAGGGATGCAGAAACAATATTACATTTTAAAATAAACTTTAAGAACAATATTTATAAATTGAACATCTCCAACGTAGTTCTTAAGCTATTTGCTTGTTCATCTATGCAATGATACAGTTTTCTCTGTATTATTGCAATGATAAGTATACCTGCCTCACTTTCTATATCAGTCAATCTCTGATGGGGACAATTTTTAAAGTCACGTATTAAAAGCACCCTTTACAAATTGCATATGTGATAGAAACTTTTCAAGGTGCAATTATCTCATTAACAAATTACTCATTTAACAAGCTGACTCATCAAGATAATAAGGAGGAAGACTCAATGCTGATTCTTTTTAGAGAAAGAAGCTCGTATTATGTGAAAGATATTTTCATAATTTAAGTGAACCTTATAAACATATCCTTTGCAACTATAGTCATTTAGGTACTGGATATGATTTTGTATTTCTAATCATTTAACATAAATGAAAAAAATGAGAAGCAGTAGAATTAATGTTCTTCATGATCAAAACGATTCCGACAGAAGTGGAGATTATATTTAAAAAAGTTCACATGGTATAGTGATGCAAACCTTCCAGATTATTAGCATTTTTAGTGAAAGTAATGTCACCGTCATGCTGTTCATATTAACTGTGGTAGCATTCAGGGCAATACGCTTCCCCCAGCTTCCTCTGCAGCCTCTAGTCCCTGGCCATCTGGAATCTCTTAGCAAGGGTTGATTTGGTGCTATATTAAGCTTCGCTGATCTTTCAGATACAGTAAACTATTGTTTTATTTTGTTCTGGTATAAACACAAATAATAATTATTAACTTGAAGGGACTTTGGCTCAACATAAAGATTCCTGGACTCTCTTTTGCCCTGTCGAAAAACAAAGTTAGTTTCCACACATCCCAAAGTGTAAAGTGTAGACTCCAGTGTAAAAAGAATCATATGCTAGCCTTTTCCCAATTTGTATCTTAAAATGACAAAAGAGCATATTCAAGTAAGAATTAGAAGTAAAATTTAACTTTAAGTCCATCTTCCTTCTAATTTAGCAATTAATCTTGTGAGTTTTATTGCCTTTGCTGATGTCTCCAAATTAAAGTCTTAATGAATGACTATAAAATGCCTTAAACCATGCAAAAGCATGCTGGAACTATTTACTGCGGTTCTCCTTTTTGGTCATAGGTGAAAGAAATATGTACACACGCACACACACACACATATACATACACACATTTGCATACTCCTGTGTTAAGTTGTCATAGTAACATGCACAGGGATCTAGGCTCCAGGGCGTCAGAAAAAAATGAGTTCTCATCCTAGAAATGCTCATAAGCCTGGTTTGTAGGAGAATTCGCTGGGCCTCAGTTTTCTCATCTCTGAAATGGGGTGCCCTGTCTTCCTCCTTACCTCAAAAGACTTTGCCAAGATTAAATGCACTAATGCCCAAAAACGCACTTTGTAAACTGAAAAGTAGTATAGCAGTATACAATATTATTCCTAGGTTTATTATGTTAGTCAGCTGAGAAAGTTTTACAGGTAAAGCATTAACACAAAAGTACTTGTGAGTCAAGTTCAGGCTGATGTATTTGGTCTTGAAATTAATTTTTGCATAGCATTCATATAAAGATAGTGATGATTTCAGGACTCGTTTATTTCTTATCAACGCAGACCAAATTATAAAAACTTATAAAAGTTATGATGCCGGGCACAGTGGCTCACACCTGTAATCCCAGCACTTTGGGAGGCCGAGGTGGGCAGATCACTTGAGGTCAGGGGTTTGAGACCAGCTTGGCCAACATGGTGAAACCCTGTCCCTACTAAAAATACAAAATTAGTTCGGCATGATGGTGCACTCCTGTAATCCCGGCTCCTCAGGGGGCTAAGGCAGGAGAATCACTTGAACCCAGGAGGTGGAGGTTGCAGTGAGCCAAGATCGTGCCATCGCACCCCAGCCTGGGCAACACGAGTGAAACTCCATTTAAAAAAAATAAAATAAAATAACTTAAGTCCAAACTAAGCAGATTCAAGGAAAGCTGTAATCACACTGAATAGTTAAAGTAATAATAATATTGATCCACACTTCCTCTAATAATAACATCATCAAACATTTTGTAAAAATTAATTAAGTCTCACATGTTCCTTATTTGAAAATAAATTAATAATTTATGGCATAATGAGACCTGAACAATCAGCACCATTAACTGTTCTTAGGATGAGTTTAATCCCTTAGTCATTTAATTTAATCACTAAAAATACTTTCATCTTTTATTGATTTGTATTTCAACTGTCCCCGTTTCAATTTTTAGAAATACATCTTGCTTAGTCTTTAACAATTTATAATATAAACTTTAAAAATAATCTGACTTCTATGAGTCTATGAAATTAAAAGGGAGAGGATTAGATATAGTGTCTTTCCACAAGAAATCACATAAACAAGGAAGTTTATTTGGTTTATTTTGAAGAAGGTAGAATTATTTCTAAAAACTTGAGAGAGATTTAAAAAAAACCTTTTAGGTGACATAAAATCAGAATCTAAAATATTTCATTACTTTCATGAAAACTTACACGTTTCACCTCTTATTATGTAAAACTCTAGCTAGGTTCATCTTTTTTGGAAGATATGAAATGGACCTATGAAAGGAAACCTTTTTTTCCAAGGTAGAATGGTACAAAGTTTTCCAGAAGTTTAGCAGATTATTTTTGACTTAGTTATCAATGTAGAAGAAGAATGAAAAGATGGTGAAAATGTTACTTGTTGGCAAATATCTCTATTTCTTTAAAAATAATATACTTTTGCCAGGTTAATTAGCAATAATTACTTTTAATAAATAACCAGGACGGGGCCCAGTGGCTCACTTTTGTAATCCCAGCACTTTGCGAGTTTGAGATTAGCCTGGGCAACATAGCAAGACCCTATCTCCAAAAATAATGAAATGTTTGAAGAATATGTCAAGCCTGATGGTCTGCACCTGTAGTCCTAGCTACTCAGGAGGCTGAGGCAGGAGGATTGCTTGAGCCCAGAAGTTTGAGGCTACAGGGAACTAGGATTGGGCCACTGCACTCCAGCCTGGGCAACAGAGTGAGACCCTGTCTCAAAAATATATCCATATATATATATATATATATATATATACGTGTATATATATATAGCCAATTCCTTAACTCCTTGTATTACCTCTGAAGCCTCAAAAAAGATAATACTCAAATAAGCAATTTTTCTCAATGGACAAAGCAGAAAGCTGCCTGCCTCTTGTGCTATTAGGAATGTCTTGTGATATCAGGAAAGCACTCTACCCTAAAACTTCTGTTCTCCTAACCTCAAGGCATAGCACAATCACTATTACAATTGTAAGAGCAACAATAACATCATAATACATATAGCCTCATTTATGAGTACTTACTATGTGCCAGGCACTCTACGAAGCATTCAGTATGGACACAATTGATTTTAATTCTCGTATCAACACTGTAATCTAGGTATTATTATCTCTGTTGCAAAGATGAGAATGCTGAGGTATAGAGTGGTTGAGAAGCTTGTCCAAAGTCACACAGCTAGTAAGCGGTAGGACTGTTTTTTTAAAACAAAGTCTGCTTAAATTCAAATCTTTTGAAATTCATTTCTGTGGATTTTTGAAGCCTTATTATTCCCTATAAGAATGCAAATATCTTGTCACTATGACCTCACTGCTGGAAAAAAGGAAGCAGTGAATTTCTTAGTAATTTTCCTATCCAATAGTTATAACTGGGAGACTGTAGCGTTCTTTGGAGAGTGGATTTTAGGATAGGTTTGTTTTACTATACTTTGCTTTTGGGTGGAGGGTGAAGAGATAAGTGCAGAGGATGAAGTCTTGTCAATATAGACAGTGCTTTAATAATACGCTACCTTGAGAGAGTACCTGATAACAAGCGGATAGGCAGTAGATGACAGAGACAGAAGAACGATACGGGTACATCCAAAAAAGCTTCACCCACTTTATAAATTTGCTCAGAGGGAACCTAGGCAGAAAGCCAATTCTCTACTTATTTTCTGGATCCAGTCTCATTACATTAAATGTATACACACATCCTTCTGCTCATAGTCCATTGGTCAAAGCGAGCCACGTGGACACATCCAGTTCCAAAGAGCACTCCTATCCTCTCGTGGGCCCAGAGAGAAGAGAACTAGAGGAGTAATGAACATTCGTACTAACTACCGTCATAGTAACTAACATAGTTACACATATGGAAAAATGAAATAAACCTAGCCCCTTTTTTCAAATATAAGTTATATTTTTGATGAGTTAAAGACATAAATATTAAAAATCAAATTTTAATACATTTAGAAAATAGAGCAGAATGTCTTATGACATTGAGGTAAGTGATAATTTCCTTAAAAATGAAGAATACAGACTCCTAACCAACAATATTAGTAACTATCATTGCATTGAAATGAAATACCTTTTGCAGGACAACAGTATGTTTTTAAAAAGGAAAAAATATAAGCCACACACAGAGACAAAAGCAACCCATATGGGCAATAACAAATTAATTTCCAGAGCACATAAAACATCTGAAAATCAATATGAAAAAGACAGCTAACTTAATATACAAATAGACAATAAATACAAACAGATAAGCCATGAGAAATGAAGAGACCGTCATTACACAGTGAATGCTCAACCTCACCTAGAATCAACAAAATGCAAATGCCACTGAAGTACCATTACAGACCCATCTGGAGGCGAAAGTTCAGAAGTTTAACAAGACCCCTGTTGGGGGAATATGAATAGATGGGAGTTCCCTTATATCCCGGATGGGCATGTAAATTTAGCTTACTCACTTTACATAACAAGTTGGCCTCAGGGACAAACCCCGTATCCCACTTCTTTTATTTCCCCTCTTAAATAATACACAAGTGATTGTGTTTAGGGTTGTTTGCAGTAGCACTGTTTGTAATGATAAAAACTTGAAAGCATCCACAGAAGAACAGATGCATCCGTTGGAATCCACTCCCTAAGAAGTAAGCTTTCCAATAGCAGCCACTTTTTCTATTTTGTTGGCTGTTAAGTCTTCATCACCTAGAAGAATGCCTGGAATGTAGTAGGTGCTCAATAAATATTTAATTAACTGAAGAAACAAATGATGAGATAATTGAAATACTATAAAGAATCTAAAATGAATGAACCAGAGTTACACGTATCAATATTGATATTCCTCAAATTAATGTTGAGTGAGAAAAGCAAGTTGAAGGATATGTAACTAAGAAATCATTTTTATAAATTATAAAACACGTAAAATACTCTCTATTGCTTATAGAGAGGATAAACATATATACAAATATCAAAACCCGACAAGAAGGACAAATTCAGGAAAGCATTTGGGGTCTAGCAGAGTGTTTATGAGATCAGAGAAACTAAAGGCAACCATAATCTTATTCGTATTTTTTTCTACAAAAGCTGATATGACAAGTTAGTATTTTTTAAGCCTGCATATTGCAAAGTATCTCAAGTTTTGAAAATATTGGTTTCTGTACCTCTTTTTGTATAAAATATGCAATGACAACATTATTTACTGAGAGTACTCAGCATACCCATATTAAATTCATGAAGCAACTGAGTAGGCAATTTTGTTTCTTAATAGAGTATTGTAATTTATTATACTTTGATATTCAGTAGCTTGGCAACTTATTTTAATAATTTACTAATTTCAACTATTCTATTCAAATTTCACCGGTTTAAAATATCGGTATAATTTTGTGGCTAGAGAGCACTGAACTATGTTGCAGAAGTTCATTACTGTCTTCTAGAATCTCATACGGACTGTTACATTTATATCTAACAGTAATTAATTAATAAATGCCCATGTGTAAATTACAGTATTCTGGCTAGAGTACAAAATTCTTCTAGTCTTGTCCCTGCCTTTTAGAAGCTTACCACTGAAAGTCTTTAAATGTAGAAAAGATTTCGTAATACACAAAAAGAAAAGCTACATTCGTTCAAGACATTATTTCTCAACATTTCTGTGGCTTGATATTTGCTCTTTGTTCTTCTGCATTTATAGCTCAATCCTTCTGGGCAAAGATGGAACCCTCTTAAATATTTTCTGCACTCCCAAGCATTACTATTCACACTTCATAAATAATAAAAAAAATCACGATATTTAACCTTTCATTACATTTGCTCTTAGCTATTCCATTCGTCTCTTTATGATTTGCCTCTGATTCATCTTAATGTCTTTAATGACCATTTTAATTAAACGAAAGAATTCCGCATGGCTATAGTTATGGATTACGCTAAAAGGAATATACATGTATAGCAAAATTACATATATTTGTGACCTTACGACAATCAAGGCTGTTTAATCCTTATCAGTGACATCAGTGTGGACCCAATTAGCACAGTTTGCAGCCACTTCATAATTCAAAAGAATGTGATCATTCAGCTGGAAGCACATTTGACAGAAACTCCATAGTCATGAAGGGAAAAGCTTGCAAGATCACTCACTAGGATGGAGAAGCTGTCATTCTTTCATCAGTGCTGTTGAATACTAATGTCAAGGTCAGGATGGTGTAATTTTAGGCTGCCAAAATATTGCTGGAATTGATATACCAGAAGATGTTTAAGAAAGTAAAGAAATACAACTTTGGAAAACTTTCCCAAGGTAGGGTTTGATATGACTCCTTGCTGCCTGGAGACAATTCTCCATTTTATCATTGTTTTACAAGAAAATCTTCTGCTAGTCCTGCGCATAACGATTCCAATATTCTTCCCTTCCTTTGTCCCTTATATTATTAAATTTATATCTTGGCTAAGAATTGTAACTATTGTAAAAATCTATTCCTTTGAGATTCTAATTTTAAAAGAAAGCCTGCTTTTCTTAAGCTTACCGTTCACCCCTTCACCCTCCTTCTACCCCAGGTGGAGCGAGAATATAAGATACATCAAATTCAAGTATGATTTTCTAAAAATGTCATTTCAAATAGGTGTTTCTCTTCTCCTCAGAGTGTAGAAAATAAGAATATAATAAATTGAAATAAAAGTTCAAGTTACATGGAATTTCCGAGACAATAGCTTGTTCTAATTAAATAATAATTGCTTTACATTGTTAACCTTAATTCCATTTGTCTATGGTACTCTTGTGATGGTGGTTGTGGTGTTTTCCAATGCTTTTATATACGTTATGTATGTTATAGGATCCTCATGACCGTTCTGGGAAGCAGAGAACTGTGTTTCTTGCCATCATTTTAGAAGAGACATGTGAGGGTCTAATAGCTGTTGACTTTCTGAAAATTCACAGCATGTAGGATGAAAATCTGGTCCTGGAACCAGCTTCTGGGATATGTTTCAGTATCCTTATATTGTTACACATTGGCCACTTATTACGGTATCTTTGGATCCCTAAATCATTCTCCTAATTTCTCCCTTTTTCTGTCTTTTTTTTTCTTAATTTTAAGGGCAACATAATAGGCAAAATGCATTGCACATTTCTTTTATTTTTACTTTTACTGAAATCTCCAAGACTCCATTCTCTCAAACAGGAAAAAAAAAAAAACCCAAAACTCACAGTTGCCCTGATCTGATTGATTTTGCAAACATAAATATGTCAATGAGCTATGCCAAACAATAGCTCAGTAGGACTGTTTTCCATATTCCAGATACATTTTGAAAGATGTCTAAAATGACATGTTTGCAGTAAAATATACATGGCCGGGTGAACTTTCCTACTCTTATCTTGCGCCTCAGTAACTCTAAAGAGAAAGTGAAATCTTCTCTTCTGCATCAGACATGTTTTAAAAATATTTAAATATTGCTTTCAAATATCCCTTACCCTTCATAAACATACTGCATACTTTTAACAAATTCTAATTTTAACTTACTACTCAGGACTGCTACTTAGGGCTTAGGGGCAGAAAGCCATCACCTTTTTAAATGTTTTCCTGGTGGATGTTTTAACTGAATTGATTCAGTCTACATTAGACCATGCTTATGCTTAGCTTTAAACAGAATTTATCAGCTTCCTCTGGTGCTTTAAATCTTCTGAGATGATTATGGAGACACCACTACAAGCCTGCTTGACTGCTTGACTTTAAGCAATCTTTTATGATTTGGGTATAAAATAAAAATGGATGCCCTATTTTAAGTGACTAACAACTTGGCCTTGGAAATCGTGGAATAAATACACAATGAGCCCAGCTAGCCCCTGAAATACACAGTGCCACGGCGTCAAAGACAGATCTTACTCAAAGGTCACCCTCTTACAGTTGGAGTTTGAAGAATAGGAAGCAGCATGTGGAAGGTTGAAGAAAGGTTGTGAAAACCTCAGCTGGCCAGGCACAGCGGTTCACGCCTGTAATCCCAGCACTTTGGGAGGTCGAGGTGGGCAGATCTCTTGAGGTCAGGAGTTCGAGACCAGCATAGCCAACATGGTGAAACTCTATCTTTACTAAAAATGCAAAAATTAGCTGGACGTGGTGGCACAGGCCTGTAATCCCAGCTACTTGGGAAACTGAGGTGGGAGAATCCCTTGAACCCAGGAGGAGGAGGTTGCAATGAGCCAAGATTGTACTGCTTCACTATAGCCTGGGCAACAGAGCAAGACTTCATCACAAAAAAAAAAAAAAGTTCAGCCCAGGGCATTAACTGAAATATATGCAGAAACAGTGTATATATATATATTTTTCTAGCCCATCTCATCTTAGTCTAATAGATATCCTCTGTCTTTTCATATACAGCATTTGTGTTCAGCCTGAATGGTGTTAATCCAACAAATATTTATACAGGGTCAACAGGTTCTGTGAACAGTCCTGGGGATTCATTAATAAATAAAGGAAGTCCCTTCTCTCAAGAAGCTCAAAGTCCAGAGGCAATGCAGTTTTTTTCTTTAAGGAAAATACAGACATTGTCAATGCTAAGATGGGTACTACAATGACCGTATGAGAAAAACACAGCAAATAGAGGCAAAGGAAGGGGAGAGCACGTGCGTCTCAGAGTCCACATGGTATCGGCCCTGTCTAATGCCTGGGTAGGATGAAGGAGCTGAGTGCCAAAGCTTTGTAAAACCAGTGGGCTGGCTCCTGTGGAGTGAGTTGCCATAGGCCATGTCTATGGCTGTCCTCTCCTGGCCCTGCCATACTCCAGTAGGCAAAAGTGCTTTCAACATTTAAACATCCATCCTCTTCCTGGTGCTCCTCCCCAGCATAGGGTCTTATGACATCAGCTATGCTTCCTGTCTTTGAGGAAGGTCCTTGGCTCAGCCTGTTCCCAAGAGTGCCAGGCAATGGCAATAGGGGTCTGCCAGGCCTGTGAACTCAGGGATTTGCACATAGGATTCTATTGTTTGACAACTCACTTGCAGATCATAGAGACTTGATGGAATTATGTAACCTTAGCATGCTTCTATTTTCTTAGTTTTAACATGGGAAAAATAAACACACCACCCTTAAAGGTTACAATGAGAATTAAGAGAAATGAAGCCTGGGTCTTCCCTCCTAGAAGGCAGTTGATAAAGCAGTTTATCTTTCTTCTTTCTTCCCACCTTCCCTCTTCTTTCTTTTATTTCTTCATCATCTTCTTAGCCATCTTGTTTGCAAATTGCAGCTCAGTATGAACCAGACCTCCATGAGGTGGAGAAGTGAATACAACTGACCATGTTCTCCAAATAAATCACAAAGAACTAAAATCATCTGTGCTTACAAGACCAGAGGGTTGGAGTGAAGATTAAATGAGATAATGCAAGGAATGCATTTAGCACATAGTAAATGCTCAATATGTATCAGCTGCTGATAGCCGTAATATAGCCTAGTTTCACTGTGGCAATGGAGCGGAATTGCTAATTGTGCAAGAGTTGGATGAAATAATCCAAGCAAAGCACTTAGCATATAGTAAGTACTCAATAACTATTAGCTACTATTAGCTGCTACTAGCTGAGTTTTTACTGCATGAGTGGGAGTGGAATTGACAAAATTATCCTAGGATGAGGGTTCTGCTGTTATTCCATACCCTGCAGACAGCCTTTGATGGTAGCTGAGGAAATTGCTTTATTTTGTACCTGCTATGAAGCAAGCAACTGGTGTGATCATAATACTGGCAGAGAAACGGCAGCTGGTAGAGAAAAGAGAAGACAAACTCCTTTTTTTTCTCTTAGCCCAACAGAGCAATTATCCTAGTCCCCACAACCAGAAAGAGAAAACAAGACAAAACAGTACTTAAATTCTATACTATATTCAAGTCTTAATGAGAACGATTTTCTCCCGAAGGCTCTTCTAATCCACTGGTTTGGCCAGAGTTTCAAAGGGTTGCATGAATTCACATTAAAATATTAAAGTTAATATTTCAAAACTTTATAATGCCTTCCAAAATATTTTTGCATATATCACCTTCTACATTAAGTAAACATTTATTTGGTACATTATGTATGTAACATTATAGCTTTCAAAAATTATATAAGAAATTGCAAGGAAAATGTCAAATATGATGGGAGAAACAGTCTTATTTTAAATGTTTGCTTCTAGGGCTTTGACTTAAAAATATTAACCTTAAATTTGAAAGGCCAAGGTTCATACTAAGTTTTCCAGAAACACATTAAAATTGTCACTATGAATATCAATAAACTAAACATCACTTTGAGTTTCGGCTTTCATCTTCAACTCAAACTTAAGCACACATTTCAAGGTTGCTTATGTATGTTAAAATATTCCATAGAAAAGTTTGCAAAAAGCCTGTTTGTGAGCCTAAAAGTCCTGGTTATCTTCTTAACAAAGACCTTCAGTTGAACAGCTCAGCACAAAAGCAAGCCTTTCCAAGGCAACAAAAAAGACTGCTAAGTCCAAAAAAAGAAAAAAGGCTCTAATACTACATAATTTGATTTGGGATCCAAATAAATTAAGAACAAGCCCCTCTTTCATTAAAGCAGTGACCCATTTTATGGCAGTGGATTGTGGCTTGTTCACCTCTTTATTCAAATGTGACTTATGCTAACTAATGGAATTCAGGCCCCACCATTTCTAAAGGGGGCACAATTGTGGCAGTTGGAAGATGGAGCTGTTTCCTTTCCATTCGAGCCTGATGTTTCCTCCTTGAATTATAAAACTTGAGAAATACATGTTGACGTTCTGTATTCGCAATGTGGGCATTGGCTGGGCATCACCATAATTGTCAGTGACAGACATTCTTTTACAAAGATAAGTTCTCACCTAATTTGTGTGAAGCAGTCCCCAAAGAATGTCGCGGTAACAGCCAGCACATGTGCAATATTGCTTTCAAATAACATGCATGTGCCAAATGCCAAAATGAAAATTTGTGGAAATGACATCTGCAATTGCAGGAAAAAAAAATGTCTCAAAGAAATCATGGGAGATTCTGTGTTTCTGGGAGTTGTTTAGGTCAGTGCTCTTTTCATAAAAAATGACTGCTTTGTCACTCTTCTTGTGAGCTTCTCTGTGAACTTTAGCAAGAGGCAGGAAAGGGGTTAGGTCATTCAAGGGGCATCAACAAAAGCAGCAAGTTCAGAGTCACAACTACAGTACGGTGTAAAGGATGGATACGAAAGCTCGTGGTTTCTCAGAAATTCCTATGTCTAATGTCTAATTTGATTTACTTGTATATGTCAAGCAAGGTTTAGCAAATCCAATGACAGGGCTTCTTTTAAGGAAAAATAGCAATAGCTACAGTTTATATGATGCTTGCTGTGCGCCAGGCACCCTTCTAAGCTCTTTATGTATATTAACTCATTAAATTCTCACAGCAGCCCCATGAGGTCTGTATAGTTGTTATTCCCATTTTACAGATGAAGAGGTCGAGGCATAAAGATTAAAGACGAGGCTGGATGATGGCTCACGCCTGTAATCCCAACACATTTGGAGGCTGAAGCGGGTGGAATGACTTGAGGACAGGAGTTTGAGACCAGCTTGGGGAACACAGCAAGACCCCGTTTCTACAAAAAAATTTAAAAAATAGCCAATTGTGGTGGTGCATGCCTGTAGTCCCAGTTACTCAGGAGGCTGAGGTGGGAGGATCTCTAGAGCCCAGGAGTTGGAGGCTGCAGTGAGCTATGATGATTAAGTAAAGGTTAAAGTTGGAAAGCAAACACTGCCTGGTTCCAGGTTCTGTGTGCTTAACTACTAGATTATACAAGAAAGGAATGCTTATTTAATTAAATAATGAAGTTAAAGCACTTGACATAGTGAACATTCAAGCAATGTAATCTAATGTTATTGTTTTTATTATCATTCTCATTATATTTGCACTGTAGACTCTCTAGCCAATACTCCCATAAAGCCATTATCTGGATAATTTGATCAGTATACACAGCAGCTCTGGTCTTCGGAGCACCCCAACAGAAATCATTCTCCATTTCAAGGCATTCAGAGATAAAGTGTGTGAACAATTTCTTTAGAAACCAACTTACTTTTTCCCATGCACATTATTATTTGGTAAAAATATTTGTAGTTGTATAATTATATTAATGATACAGATAGTTGTTTATTTTTAAGCTTCAACTCAAAAACATTGCTTCCCTTCCTCTACTATGCTTAATGCTTAATTCATTTTGACAGCTTTACTGAAAATGCAAAACTTACAAGTGCCCCCTTTTCCGACTTTGCCTCTCAGGGAGTAGGAGGTGTGGAAACTCCCCTTGACCGTATCAGCATCTGTGCAGGTGATGAAAATTCATGAGCTGCCTCTTGCCTTGAAAGTGAGCAGGATCTTCCAACTCCTTTATGAGGGTAACAGTGAGAAGAAACCTTCCCTGGAGTCCGGGGTAGAGGACACAGTCACCTGCATAAGGCAGGAGAGAAGTGGTGCTCTGCTCGCAGGAGGGGCAGTGCCTGATCTGCAGCAGCCCTGACCAGGCCCAGTTCTGGGTACTGGTTACATTGTCTGCACCGTATGATCTCCAAAAGAGCCACTGAAATGCTTGTGAGCTCTACCGTGTTCAGCTACCTCTCATTAATCATACCCGAAATGATTTTCTTTTCAGTCTCATACTTTAAAAAATTTAATATTTTCATTAAGAAAATCTAGACCCCCACTTTGGAATGAACTGATAATTGTAACTGTGATATAAATATAGTCAAGAAACAAAATAACATAAAGGAATAATGGTAGAATTGCTCTGGCGTGGATGAAAAAAGTTTTTTCTTCAAAAGCCATTGATTGAAACTCTAAGATAATCCAAGGCATAGGTTATCTTTTAAAAAAATAATTTATGGAGATGAAATCTACATGATATAACATTAAGCACTTTGAAGTGAACAACTGAGGGCCATTTTGCCTATTCACAATGTGCAAGACCAACTTCTATTTAGTTCTAAAACATGCCCATCACCCCAAAGTGAAACCGATTGCTTATTGAACAGTTTCTCCCCATTTCCCCCAGCCCCTGGATACCACCAGTCGGCATTATTTTCCTATGAATTTACCTATTCTGAGTCTGTCACATAAATGAAATAATACCATAGGTGACCTTCGATGTTGGGCTTATTTCACTCAGCATAATATTTTTAAGGTTCATTCACATTGTAACATTTATCCACACTTTATTCCTTTTCATGGCTAAATATTATTCCCTTGTACATGTATGGAATATACCACATGGAACTACCACGGTTTGTTTCTCCGTTGCTCCACGGATGGGCATTTGGGTTGTTTCCACCTTTTGGCTCTTGTGACTGAGGCAGCTCTGAAAACATATGTGCATGGGTTTATTTGAGTATCTCTTTTCAATGTTTGAGGGTATATACACAAGAGTAGAATTGTGGAGTCATTAGATTATCTGTTTACTTAATTATTCAAGTTCTAGGTCATCCTTGGATCAACTAGTATCATCCTTGCTGGTCCACATCCCATGCATGAGTAATTTTTATTGTTATTTTTCCATCTCCTTTCCTACCCATTCTTTCCAATTCAGCTTATTATCACTTTGTAAGCCTCAGAAGTTCTGGGTATGCTCTGCACTCTCATAGTCTCTTATGATGCCATTCTGCAGAAGAAAGAGAGACAAGATGCTTCCAGTGAGAAATGTGGCATTAAAAAGCATGATATTAACTCAGCCATTCAGCAAACATTTGTAAGTCCCTGTGACCTGGACTTCCTGTTACATGCTTGGAATATAGATGGAATAAACATGGGCCCTGCCCTCATAGAGTTTTCCATTTTAAAAACAAACATAGGGTATGAGTGTCGATTCATATGATTTAGATCACAATTTGATTTCTAAAAGCCATAAATGATATGGTGGCATTTTTCAAAGAAGAAATGTTTGTATCTATTTTTGAATCATGAGTGCATCTTTTCTTGCTCTATCTTGCTCATTCTCTGAATAGTTCCAACGTTCAGTCACAGCCCTGTAGTAAGCGGAAGATCCCTTTGAGATGATTCGTGGTTTCGTATCTGTCCTGTGACACATTGGCAGACTGAATGTCAAAAACGCCCTCCTGAAAAGCTAAATTTCAGTCACAGAATGAATCTGTATGTGTACTTCTGGCATCCCCATGTTTCCCCAAAACTTTAGCAAGAGTGCATTTCAGTTTTAAAACAATAGAGCATTCATTTGCATCTGAAGGGCATGAGACTCTAAAAAATATAACAAGTTTAACAATTCATGTAAATGCTTCAAAACTCATTTCTTTTTTTTTTCTTTTTTCTTTTTTTTTTTTTTTTTTGAGAGACAGAGTCTTGCTCTGTTGCCCAGGCTGGAGTGCAGTGGTGTGATCTCGGCTCACTGCAACCTCCGACTACCAGGTTCAAGCGATTCTCCTGCCTCAGATTCCCAAGTGGCTGGGACTACAGGCATGCTGCACCATGCCCAGTTAATTTTTGTATTTTTTAGCAGAGACGGGGTTTCACTATAAGTTGGCCAGGCTGGTCTTGAACTCATGACCTCAGGTGATCCGCCCGTCTCAGCCTCCTTAAGTTCTGGGATTACCGGCATGAGCCACCATGCCCGGCCATCAAAATTCATTCCTAATCAAAGTGGTAATTTCATAAATTATAAAATAAAGAGTGAGATTTTTGAAGTCAGGAGCATCTGAGAGAGCTAGATGCAGATACAGAGGGATATATTAGAATACAGACTAAATGGATCCCCAAATTGAGTGAATTTAAAAAATAGAAATGTATCAGTCTCTCATGTAACAGCCATATGCTACAAGGAAAAAGAGGCTTTCATCTCTAGGTTCAAGATGGCAGCAGCAGCTCCAGACAAGACATCTGCATCCCAGCCAGTGGGAATGAGCCAGTGCAGGACAGCCTGTTCGTTTTAGGAGTGCATCCTGTGAATAGCACACATCATTTCCACTTGGATAGTCCTAGTCATAACTTTGTCATACGGTCACATTTTCAAGGGAGGTTTGGAAAGGTAATCATATAGTTTAAAACTTTGGAGCTCTAATAGAAAAAAAGAAAAGAATGTGTCTGAAGAGATCCAGCAAGCTTTGCCAGATAGTGAATTCTCTGATGTGACGAATGTTCCATTTGATTCAAGTAGATACCAAGCTAATAAAGATGTAATCTAGCTGAGATTCTAGATTCTAGAATGAATTCTTAACTATTTTCCAATAATAAAGTCAGGGGGATTTAGAGTAGCCATCTAGAAATAACCTTGTAACCATGGTTTTAGTCAGTACTTATATCTTTATTGATTTTGATTCGATTTCAACAATATAAAAAATATAGCAAAGTTTGGTTAAAACCCAACATTTCTTCAGTAATAAAGCTCTTCTCATTTTATGGCCTGTTGTAGGTAGAAAACACCAAATATATATGTACATCTATTCTCCATTTATGGGTCACCTCATAATTTTGCTTAACAAATGATACACCAACACATTTTTGTGTGTTGTAGATAAATTATTTAAAAATCTGATTCAATAAACAAATCTAAATTAATATGAAAGGACAGATTCTGTTTCTATGAGAAATCTGCCAGAAAGATACATTTTACACTTGAAGTTAAACTTTTCAATAATTTATTCTCTCTCTAGGCTGCCTGAAATTCTAAATTGTTCAGATTACTGCTTGGGTGCATGGATGACCTAGTACCAGGGTACACCTGATGGCAATTGTTTATATATAGAACACAATCCTGATCAGTCTCTGACACTTACTACTGACTTCCTGCTGCTCAAAAATGTGTACTCTAATAGCATTTGTATGTTTTCTTTTCCCTCAAGGTTTCAGATTCCTTCTCTACAAGAACATGGAAAATTAGAATGAACATTACAGACACTATAATAGAAGCAGTCCAAGCAATTTCACTGTACTCTGAGATACCATATGGTACTTGCTAAATAAAAATATATTATCTATGTGTAGAGATATATCTATATAGATATAGGCGTGTACAAAGACTGATTTAAACATTTGTCTTTTGCAGATTTCAAACTTAAGAATTCCAAACATCATTAACCCCTAATATGCAACATCTTTAATATTTCAACTTACAATAACTTTTAAAAAGAGATAAATGAGTAATTAAAAACAAATTTCTAAAAATGGACAGAACTATAAGTTTAAAACTATAACCCTTTTGAAAATGACTTCTCCAGACATTTGGAATTCCCATAAAATAACAACTCTAATACGGCTAGGGTGTTCAAATTATTAATCAGCAATTCAATGTATGCTAAACTGTTAATTGAATTTTTTTAAAGAAAATAGATTGTAAAGTTTTTATCAGTTTTATCACACATCTGTTTAAACAAACAGCTTTTGAAAGAATTTGTATGGTGGAGATTGAGATAAGTTTGTGTTTTTTCTTTTTTAATTTTTTCAAGGCTAACAGGAGTCCCTTCTGCCCCTGAGGCAGAAGGAAGCAAAATGTTCTGTGATCCCTAGTGGTTTCACTGCTATGACACAGAGGAGTTAAATGTAGAGAGACTCCTGAGAACATAGACAAGTGTGGGAAAAAAAAAAACAAAAAACTTTTCTGAGGCCTAAAAAAAAAAGAGAGAGATCAGCAAGACGATAAGGAGACTGGTAGGAAATCTAACCTGAAGATGAGAGAATCTCTGTGCACCCCCAGATGGCTGACTTCCTGCCACTCAGGTGACTCAGGTGTTCCTGGGACATGCCTTTCCTGACACCTGATCAGAAGTGGTGTCTTGCTGCTCCACTTCTTGGCACTCTGTGAAATCATCCTGTCCTATTTGCTTATTGCCTGTCCACCAGAATACAAATTCCGTTAGATCTGGCTTCATCTGTGTCCTCAGCGCCTTGGCCACATTTACTTGCCTAGTAATTGGTACTCAGTAAATATTTGTTTTAAGGGTCAAGGAATCACTGAACATCCTAATTAAAATTATTTACGTGTTTCGACAAATATTAGTCAATATTTAAATATGTAGTAGGCGTTTACACTTTCCATTTTACCTTCTAAGTCTCTTTCAAATCTGTCCATCTCTCTTCAGCTTCACTGCCATCCCCGACTTCAAGCTACCCTCTTCTGTTGATTGAACAAGTGCCCTAGACTCCTGTCCTAGCATCCACTGAAGTACCAACCTCCAATCCGCAGCCTTTCATGGGGCAGAGTAATTTGTATTTTGAAATGAGAACCCTTTCATAGTAAAGTCCTACTTAACCCACTTCAAATTGTCTCATCTCCCTTAGAACTCTGTTTTGACTTGTTCTCCACAGTATTGCAAGGACTGGCCGCCACCTCTTTTTTCTAGAGCCACTACAACTGTATTTCCCTTATTCTCTGCAGTTCAGCCACCAGGACCATTTTGCAGGGTCCCTTTCTCCGAGAAGCCTTTTTATTCTGCTGTTTTGACTACCTGGCACGCCCCACCCATTCCTTCCACTTTAGCTAGTTACTAACCATCTGACTACAAATCAAGCATTCACATCATTGCCATTCAGCTTCCCATTGGCACAGAAAGAGGCTACAGGGGCTAAGTTAAGGAATGCGAAGTACCCTCCTCGTTACTCCTCAAAAAGGAAAGAAAGTGAGCTTTTTCTTAGAGAGCCTCCACCTCCATGCCCGTGGTGGTCGCCATGGCAGAGGGACTCAAGCTAAAAATCCCTGGAAGCAGCATGCAATCAGCCACAAGGTTTTCCTCTTCTGACACCTAAACACCCATACTTTGAGATGTGAGAGAGAGATTGCAGACAAGTCTTCAGACACATATTCATTCACTCATTCAAAGACACGTATTAGAGTTAATCATGTGCCAGGGACTGAGCCTTGAACTTTCTTGAACCCTTGTTCATGCTGATCCTTCTACTTGTGGTATACTTTCCCTCTTTCCCTTCCATCCTTTCAACGTCCTTAAGTCCCTGGTGAAGCCCCACTCTTCTTTCAAGGCCCAGTTGAAATGTGACCTCTTATCTGAAGCTTCCCTGAACTACTTCAGGCTGAATTAATTGCTCCTCTCTCTCTGTTCCCAAAGGAGTTAGTTCATACGTTTTGTAAAAGCACTTATCACATTGCATTATAACTATTTGCATATCTGTGTCCTTTCTGGACTTTCTTCTTTGTAGCAGGGACCATATCTTACTCATCTTTAAGTCTCTCATCTTATACTCAGATATCACGCTTACATCCCTGGCTCTCATCACAGGGCTTGGCAGGTGACAGGCACTATTTAAATATTGGTTTTTGCTTAAATGCTGAGGGTTCCTCAGACATCCTTGGACACTGCCATGAATGTTGAGATGTAAATAGTCATAGGATATATTTTACAATCTTTCTGGATGATTTGTTAAATAAATTCTCTCGGCATTGTTACTTTTTGAGGGAAACTTTTATGATAGCCCAAATTCCCAATGCATAGAAAGACAAAGACAATAGAAAAATACAAACTTTGCAAAAATCAGGGCAATAAGAAATCTGAAAAGCAAGTGGGAATGCAACCATCCTTGGAAATTAGGCTAGGTCACTGAGGAAAGGATCCAAAGAAATAGCACAAGAGTGTAGGGACATATTCAGAGGGACAAAACACAAAAGAAACAGAAATATGTTATTATAGAAAGGCAACATAAAAATATTCCTAAATAATATATATCAAGTAGACTTTTTTCCACAATGAAAAAATACAGGAATACGTGTAAAATAACATTTAAGAGGAAGGATTTGGAAACCAGCCCCAACCACATTGTGTTACTGTACCTCCCTTGACGTTAGTCACATTACCTTTGAGGTTTAGTTAAATTTGTGGCTTGCTCGTGCCTGAGGGATAGTTAAGAATAGACAGGTTTAAGTCTACTACCAAATATCAACTCTCTCCAGGGAACATTGCAATTATCTAGCTTGATCTGAGACCCCTAAATGGTAAGAAACCTCTTTGTAAATCTCAGATTTAGACATCTTGCTGCATACACGTGGAAAAAAGGATCCAACCTAACTTGGAACCATCAGATAGCTTGAATCAGCTTTGGCCTGGAGCAGGATGACTAGTTTTCAGTTGTGCAATGGAGGCAGCTTTGATTACACTCTCCAGGCCCCCTGACATTCCTGTTTCAGGATAGTCCTTGGCATAAATCCATGCTGTTGGTGTATGGAGTTGGCTATGAATGTCCCCAAACCTGGACTCTGTAAAGGGACACTGATGAAGCAGGCTAGAGGCAGCAGTTTATTGACAGTCTGAATGGATAATCATGGGCTTAAGTCTTGCTCCTCATTGTCCCTATTAATTCTGCCTTTGGTTCACTTTCACATACTCCTCACCCAGACTGGAGAATGTTGTCCTTCATATGAAAAGCAAACAAAAATGGATTGCATTCAGTCAACCCCTACCTTGATGGTGGCCTGATGGGAGGTTTTGAACTCAAAGTAGGCCACTGAAGGAGATGAATATTTTGAAAATAGCTTATGCACATCAATAGGATTAGAGGATGGAAACCTTTGTTGACTTAAGGGGGAGGCAGATTGTATTTCAGCACTATTTCTAGTTATTACATTATTCAGCCCTTGTGAATAATGAAAAGATTGTTTGAACTCTAAACAAGAAAAAATACTGTATTCAGCTTTAAAGAGAGAGAAAACAATGAAACTTTTGAATAGATCAGCTGGTTTAACCTTAGTATGTGGCTAGGTATGGAAACGTGGTATTAATCTGTGAAAACCTCCAGGAGAGTAGCAGATGTGAGAAAAAGCACTATGACTAGGAATGTCAGCCCAGTTTGTTTATTTGGCAGATTGTATATTTAACAAGGAAGCAATGGATGAAAGACTTTGACTCTGTTTTGTGTAAGCCTCACTCTACCTGGAATCCATCCTTTCTCCCTTCCCCTAACACATATGCAATCTCTGTGGAAATCTGTTTATCATACAAGATACCACCAACATCATCTCATGTGAAGTCTTCTTGGGCCGCCTTAAGTTCCTCTGACTCTGTGGTAGAAAGAATAATGTCCCCTTCCCCAAGATGTCCCCATCCTAATTCCCGGAACCTATGAATATGCCACCTTGCACTGCAAAAGGAAGAGACTTTGCAGGTGTGAATAAAGATCTCGAGACGGGAAGGTTTTCTGGGATTAGCTTCTTGGACCCAAGGACTCACAAGGGTCCTCATGAGTGAAAAAGGTGGCAGGAGACTCCCATTCAGAGGGATGTGGCATGAAAAAGACTCAGTTGGTCATTGCTGGCTTTGAAGACAAAAGGGGTCCATGAGCCAAAGGAGGCAGGCACCCTCTGGTAGCTGGAAAATTCATGGAAACTGATCCTCACCTAGAGTCTCCGGCAGGAACACAGCTCTGCCAACATGTTGGTTTTAGCCCAGGAAGACCCATTTCTGACCCCTCACCCAGAACTGTAATAAACGTGTGTTCTTTTCAGCTTCTAAGTTTGTTACAGTAGCAATAGGAAGCTGGCACAGATGTCCTGGCACAATTTTCCACTCCTTTCCTCTGCATCCCTGTCATTTTTTACACATCAAGCAGTGCCTTCCTCAGTGTGTCCCCGCTACTTATTTGTGGGTTGTCTTCCCATATGTTTCTTCCTCAGACACTAAACTGAAACCAGTGTCTTATTCATCCTTGTTTCCCTTGTGGGATCAGGTACTCCACCAACCTGCTTAAGAAACATGGAAAAGATTCACTGCAGGTTCATTTGTATCAAGGATTTGCTCAGATATCCTTCTATGCGCAAGCCACTCTTTCATTCATTTTTCATCCTCTTGGCTCCTGACTCGCTCTCTGAATTCCAGAATCTTATTCTAATGAAATATGGGACACAAGTCTCTGGCTCTGACTTTGACACCGTCTCACCCTTCCCAGCGCAAGCCACTCCCTTGACATCCCTATTAGTAGGGACAGCTCTCCTGGCTCTGCCAATCACTGCCCTAATTCTCCATTTCCTGGAATTAAACCTGGCACAACAAATGTTAAATGAATCCTGATTAAATACATAGGCCAATGCAAAATAGTATACAAATGACTTATTTTACTAGGTGGTAGGGAAAATAGCCACAGGCATCAATGTAGGAGGCTACAACACGCAAGGGACAGCTCCAGGGTCGTCTCTGGTTTCCTACTCTTAATGATTTTGCCAATGACATAGATGGGACTTGGTGGTAAGCAAGTTTGTAAATCAAGTACATTTACTAAAACTTGTAGGGAATTATGCATAGTGATTATAATACTATATTCTTTGTGGTTTTCAGTAAATGTTAATAGAGACTATCTATTTTCTTTTTTATCAGATATGTGAGAGACATGGCTTTGTCTTTCACAGGAAAATGGCTTTATTTATCAGAAAGCACATCACATCAACACTGGCACAAGGAATCAATATTTATTTGGTGGAAATTTGATATCAATAAATTACCCAATGATAAATATTTATCATATGCATATATGCATTGCATTTATTCGAACTGTTATCATAGGTGAGGGTAGGCTATAATAGAAGAAAAATTAAGTAATGATTCAAAAAGTCTTTATGGTATTTTCAGTTCTGTTATTAACTTTGAGAATATCATTTAGTTCCTTTAAGCCTCAGTTTTCTCATCTCAACATGAAATATTTAGAATTTACTTCCAATTCTAACATTCTTTGATCTTTAATAACATCCAAGACAGGCTGGTTGGTGGCTCAAGCCTGTAATCCCAGCATTTTGAGAAGCTGAGGCAGGCGGATCACTTGAGCTCCGTCATTCGAGACCAGCCTGTGTAACACAGAGAAACCCAATCTCTACAAAAACAATACAAAAAAATTAGCGAGGCATAGTATCACATGCTTGTGGTCTCCCCTCTTCAGAAGGCTGAGGTGGGAGGACCACTTGAGCCCAGAAGGTCAAGGGTGGAGCGAGCTGCGATTATGCAGCTGCACTCCAGCCTGGGTGTACTGGTCCGTTTTCATGCTGCTGATAAAGACATACTGGAGACTAGGCAATTTACAAAAGAAAGAGGTTTACTGGACTCACAGTTCTATGTCGCTAGGGAGGCCTCACAATCATGGCAGAAGGTGAAAGGCACATCTCACCATGGCAGCAGACAAGAGAAAAGAATGAGGAAGAAGTGAAAGTGGAAACCCCTTAAAAAACCATCTGATTTCTCGAGACTTATTTACTACCATGAAAACAGTATGGGGAGAACCACCTCCATGATTCAATTCTTTCCCACCAGGTCCCTCCCACAACACGTGGGAATTATGGGAGCTATAAGATGAGTTTTGGGTGGGGACACAGAACTAAACCACGTCATTCCACCACCCCCCCCAGTAAATCTCATGTCCTCACATTTCAAAACCAATCATGCCTTCCCAACATGTTTAATTCATTTCAGCATCAACTCAAAAGTCCGTAGTCCAACATCTCATCTGAGATAAGACAAGTCCCTTCTGCCTACGAGCCTGTAAAATCAAAAGCAAGTTAGTTCCTAGATACATTGGCAGTACAGGCATTGGATAAATACAGCAATTCTCAATGGGAGAAATTGGCCAAAACAAAGGAGATACAGGCCGCATGCAAGTCCGAAATCCAGCAGGGCAGTCAAATCTTAAAGCTCCAAAATGATCTTCTTTTACTCCATGTGTTGCTTGTGGGTCAAACTGAAGCAAGAGGTGGATTCCCACAGAGCCCCATGACTCTGTGGCTCTGCAGGGTATAGCCTCCCCCCCTGGCTGCTTTCACAGGCTGGTGTTGAGTGTGGCTTTTCCAGGCATGTGGTACAAGCTGTTGGTGGATCTACCATTCTGGGGCTGGAGGGCAGTGGCCCTCTTCTCACAGCTTCACTAAGGGATGCCCCAGTAGGGACTCTGTGTGGTGGCTCCGACCCCACATTTCCTTTCCTCACTGCTCTAGCAGAGGTTCTCCATGAGAGCCCTGCCCCTGCAGCAAACTTCTGTCTGGACTTCCAGGCATTACCATACATCCTCTGAAATCTAGGCAGAGGCTTCCAAGCCTCAGTTCTTGACATCTGTGCACCTGCAGGCTGCTAGAAACGCTAGACCATATGGAAGATGCCAAGGCTTGGAGCTTGTATCCTCTGAAGCCATGGCCCAAGCTGTACCTTGGCCCCGTTTAGTCATGGCTGGAGTGGCCGGGACAGAGAGCACCAAGTCCCTAGACTGCACACAGCAGAAGGAGCCTGGGCTCAGTCCACAAAACAATTTTTTCCTCCTAGGCCTCCAGGCTTGTGATGGGAAGCCCTGCCGTGAAGACCTCTGACATGCCCTGAAGACATTTACCCCATTGTCTTGGGGATGAACATTCAGCCCTTCATTACTTATACAAATCTCTGCAGCCAGCTTGAATTTCCCCTCAGAAAATGGGATTTTCTTTACTATTTTATTGTCAGGCTGCAAATTTTCTGAACTTTTATGCTCCGCTTCATTTATAAAACTGAATGCATTTGACAGCATCCAAGTCACTTCTTGAATGCTTTGCTGCTTAGAAATTTCTTCTACCAGATACCCTAAGTCATCTCTCTCAAGTTTGAAGTCCCACAAATCTCCATGGCAGGGGCAAAATGCTACCAGTTTCTTTGCTGAAACTTAACAAGAGTCACTTTTGTTCCAGTTCCCCACAAGTTCCTCATCTCCATCTGAGACCACCTCAGCCTGGACTTTATTGTCCATATCACTATCAGCATTTTGGGCAAAGCCATTCAACAAGTCTCTAGGAAGTTCCAAGGTTTCCCACATTTTCCTATCTTCTTCTGAGCCATCCAGACTATTTCCAACCTCTGCCTGTTACCCAGTTCCAAAGTCACTTCCATGTATTCGGGTATAATTTCAGCAGCATCCCACTCTACTGGGACCAATTTGCTGTATGTTTTCATGCTGCTGATAAAGGCATACCTGAGACTGGGAAGAAAAATAGGTTTAATGGACTTACGGTTTCATCTGGCTGGGGAGGCCTTACAATCATGTCAGAAGGCAAGGAGGAGCAATTCATGTCTTACAGGGATGGTAGCAGGCAAAGAGAGCCAAATGAAAGGGGTTTCTCCTTATAAAACCATCACATCTTATGAGACGTATTTACCACCACAGGAACAGTATGGGGAGAACTGCCCCCATGATTCAATTATCTTCCCCCGGTCCCTCCAAAAACATGTGGGAATTATGGGAGCCGCAGGATGAGATTTGGGTGGGGACACAGAGCTAAACCATATCACTGGGTTACAGAATGAGATCCAGTCTCAAACAAAACACATGCAGAATATAGCATGCCACAATTAGGAGAAGTCTTCCCACTAGTCTTCATATTAGTCCCAAGGTTGCATTTATGTATGTTCATGCTCAAAACTGATTGGAAACCCTTGAAAGAGCCCAGAAAACAAATACAATGAAAAACCGAATTATTGGAAAATAAACTTTATACAGGAGACTAAAGAAATCGGTGTTACTTTGTTATTAAAATATATTCAGAGTAGACTATAACCACCTCCAGCTCCATAAGAATTCAACAGAGAAGATGAAAGGAAGAGTCTCAGAAACCTGAAGAAGCAAGAGCTCTGTTAGGAATCCACTAGCTTTTGAAGCTGTAATTGTGAGTGTGGGTCATTGTGACTTCTTCTCCAAATATCTACTGCAAGTCTGGGCAAACCTATGCAGCAAATGATATGATCTTTTTGTATTATTATTATTCATGTGCTTATTTGACAGGCAAGGCGTGGGTCTGCACATGTGTGTGTGAGAAATCTGTCAATGGGATACATTTCTTTCTGAAACCTAGAAATTATCTTTGTGGAGTCAAATATTCCTTCTCTATGTGAGTTAGAAAAAAAGATCCTAATGGGTGTTTTAGCTGGGTGCCTCGCCTCTCCCAAATACCTGAATCTGTATACACACATAGATTTCAATTACTTTTTACCCTTTAGATTATCGGAAACAAATACTGGTTGCATGTGAGTAAAATCTTGCACTAGATATGTGTATTGTACTTCTAGAAAACTGAAGGTGTAGCTCTCTATTTTGGATATGTAAATATAATAACGTTGAATGTCTACACTGACCTGCAACAGGATTTTGGGAGAGATTGCAATCCTTACACATGGAAATATGGAATAAGATAAACATCTCTTCTGTATTATCTTAAGGAATTTTTCTCACAAATAAAGACTTTGATTGCTCCCTAAATAGTAATTAAAATTAAAAACTGAGACTATATTAAAGTGTGGGTTAAATGAGAGCCCATGCAGAAGGCTAGGGCACACATTTGCTTATGTCTGGAGGTTATGATGGGGTTACTTTTACATTTGAGCACAAGGTAGATCTGTTCTCTATTCTAATAGGCCTGTTGGCCATAATATTTTACTCATTTTCAGCTGTAATAAGCTTTTGAATATCTGAAGCTACAAGGTTTGTGTTTTCTCATCCAATTTGTTTTAGACCAAGGACACTCTGATGGGGAAAGGTATAAAACAGTTCACAGGAGACTTTCAATATTAGTTTCCTCGCACCTGCAGTTTTTGAAAAATAATCTTTTTTTCTAAAAATAAAAGTGAAAAGTTTATAAAGACCTTAGGAACTGATTTTTTCCCCACCTCAACCAATTTATAGGATTGAACTGAGCACTCTGGAAGTAGGGGGTAAAGCAAAAACTTGCTTTAGGAGATTTAACAAGCATTTGTCAATGAAAACATATTTTTGTACATTTTTCCCCTCTTCAATGGTTTATTGAAAAGCCCATTGGGTTGAGTATATAAATGCTTATAGTAAATGTTTTTCTTTGCTACTCCAATCATATCCCTCAAAGTTTAAGCATTACATTTAACCCTTTCTCTGGTTCTATGCTTGCTTTGGATTTAGTTCTATACTGTTTTCTTTATATTATCTTAATTGGTGAATGGGAACACAACTGACCAAGGACATGCCACATAGCCTTGACTTACCCCCCTTTATATAGAATTTAGATCTTCTGTAATCTTACAACCTAGAGTCTGGATATGTTTCTGAGCATCATCAGCCCAGGACTTTGGTACCCATCCTGCAGTTTGTTTTGTGATTCCTTGAAAAATCTGCCATGGCACCCTGGAAATTCTGAGGATCCAAAGGACCAAACAAGGCCCAGTTCCCCAAACCTGTATGTGTGCATATAGTTCAATACTCTTATTAGGATTATTGGCATGCCCCTTGCCTGTCAAAGAAAGACTCTTAGGACTACAAGGTGAAGTTGATTTATGTGTTCATACATCATCTGTCTGAAAATCTCGGCATTTACTTCATCCTACCATGATGCAGAAACAAAATACTTTATTCCTGACTACCTATCTGCAATCCTTTAAAAAGAATGAGTGTGTTATTTTTCTGTATGTATTTCTAATTGGCTTAGAAATAATACTGACATGAAATCCTTAGTGTAATGAGAAAGCATGAAGTGGATAGTTTCATGTATGATGCTCAGTGCCTAGATATTGTGCAAGTTAGGACAGAAAAGTGCATTAATCAGTTCCTCAAAAATTCACAGTCTACTTAGGGAGATTAAAAAAATGCATATGCTCAAAAGCAAGAAATGGCATCTTTTAGCTTTCTACTCTTTGATTTGAGCCAGTCCTTTATTGTATCATTGAAACTGTTTAAATTTACCTTAATGTAGGGGAGCAAAAGCCCCACATTCTTCACTACCTACATATTAGATCTCAAGCATTGATTCTCATGATATCTGTAGGAAATGTGCCATGTATTTGCCATTAGAACAAAATGATGCAGAGGCATTTTACACTATTTGGGTGAGGGCTTAAAAATATTCTAAAGTAGCAAAGTAACGAGGTACTGGGAACCATATATTTCATTTGATATGTAACAAAAGAAAAGAAAAGCACGTGTTATAAAACTCCAACCTAAATCAGTAATTATGACTAATTAGTGATGCTTAGTAACACGATAAATTGCAATAGCCAAACACAGAGTAGGTAGACAAATATTATTTTGATCTTCTTGAGATTGTAGCAGTGCGGAATTTGTAATAAGGGTTTTATGTCAGTGACTGAAAGAAAAACAGGAAGAAAAAAGAGGAAAAGTGTGCAAATGATTACAGGAGAGCAAAGGAGGGGAGAGAAGTACAAACTCCCCGTGGCTTGAAACCTGTTAGGGTGAGAAATTGTTATCTGTGGAAGGTTGAGTAGTTTGGAATCTGCTATCCTAATACCAAGCCTTTTGTAGTTAGAATTTATCCACTGGTAAATGAGCTATTTCATTTAAAGTTGGTTTGCCCTACTTTATTAAACAGTGTTTTCCACGGACATTAAGTTATTGTCATAAAAGCCTTCGAGTGCCTCTCTTTTGGCGTTTCTAGCAGGACTGTTGTCTAAGTTTGGGGCCCGCGGGAGGCAAATTCAGCAGAGATGTCCAAATACAACTTTACGTACAGAGCATAGCTACCAAATTCCTCCTGGATTTGCCTATTGTTACAGAGAAAGACTTTGTAATTACCAAGGGATTATAGCAGAATATGAAAGGGCCTGAAAGCAGCTTTCTTGCAAATCAAGAATGTATTCAGCACAAACTTAGGAAGAGTCAGCTGAGAAGTGAGGCAGAAGTGTCTGAAAATGTTAAGGGTTCAAGCAGAAGGGCCTGCCTGAAACTCCTAATTAAAGAAGTAAAAATGACTTTTTAAAGAATGTCAACGTCTGTCATTTGTATTCTTCACCAATAAAAGGGTCTTCTGAGGATTGTAAATGAGGTGATGGCACTGCCCAAATACCCTGGGTTTGTCCTTCTTTTATACTCCCGAAGTAGTGAAAATGGAGCTTAATGGTACATAAATAAAAATAATTAAATAGAAGATAGTGGTACTGGTGCATTACCTGAATTAATATACAAGATTAAGAGGCCAATAACCCAAAAACAACTTTGTTATTTTGGTGTTTTCTATAAATTAGATGACGCTCTCAGAGTAGAATGAAATATAGCTTTCACTCTACCATTTTGATTCCAAATTTAAAAACAAAACATTTCTTATGGGTGATGTTTCTGGTATTCTCTTTGACATATGGTTTCAGCACATGTTCATGTTGAAACAAGCCAGATTATCAGTTACACCTCTTCTGGGTATGTCTTTTTTAATTTAAGTTTAAAAATTGAGCTATTTTTCTTATTGATTTCATAACCAAAACTAGAAACAGTGATTAATTAGCACGTGTTAATTTTTGTATCCTTAGGTTATCTCTTGTAGAAATTTTGACAAATGCTTGGAGCAATGAGCCATATCACATTGAGAGCCCATAACAATTTGCAAAGCTGTTTCAGATAGGGTGATTTTGTTGGGGGGACAGTGGCAGGGAATTGGATAAATTGAATTTGAAAGAGAGAACCAGGCAGAGAGAACTCCACTTGTGGCTAACAAATATGATTTCTTTTAAGGAATAAAAGGCATGTGCCACAGGGCCTCCTAAAATGTTGCATATTTTACTTGCCACCATTTGATTAATAGGGATTTAGAGAGAAAACCAGAAAAAAAAACCTCTCATTCCTTGGTAGTAATTACCCTTCCTGTGATCATTGGAGAGCCAGGGTTCTAATCATCCTATTACCATTTGGTCTTCTTTTCCTTTCCTTGGCTGGGCACTGCCAGTGGTCCCATCCCCTCCCTTTACTGATCCCATTCAAAGCTCACTTGCAACCCTCAATGTCTGACTTTCCCCCAAGTACTGCAAACCACAATGGTCTCCCGCTTGTTAGAGCTTATTCAGAAATGCTGTTTTCTTTTACCAATCACTTGTCACTTAAGCAGATACAACCTGCCCCCCGTCACTGTTTCACATATATAAACCTTGTCTGTCTTCTATTGAGGACAAAACCATGTCTTAGCTCTGATATTCTCTAGGGCACTATTGCCCTATAGAAATATACTATAAATTGCATGTGTAATTTTAAATTTCCTAGTAGCCACATTTTAACAAGAAAAAACAAGTGAAATTAATTTTAATATATATACTTAATACCTCTAAAATATTATTTTAAAATGTAATCAACATAGAAATTGTTAATGAGATAGTTTACATTCTTTTTTATGATGTCTTCAAAAGCTGGTACTTTTTTTTTTTTTTTTTGAGATAGAGTCTTGCTCTGTCTCCCAGGCTGGAGTGCAATGGCGTGATCTCGGCTCACTGCAAGCTCCTCAGCTCCGCCTCCTGGGTTCATGCCACCCTCCTGCCTCAGCCTCCCAAGTAGCTGGGACTACAGGTTCCCGCCACCACGCCCGGCTAACTTTTTGTATTTTTAGTAGAGATGGGGTTTCACCATGTTAGCCAGGATGGTCTCGATCTTCTGACCTCATGATGGAACCACCCGCCTCAGACTCTGAAAGTGCTGGGATTACAGGCGTGAGCCACTGCGCCTGGCCAAAAGCTGGTATGTATTTTATATTCACAGAATATCTCAATTCAGACTAGCCAAATTTCAAGTGCTCAAAAATCATATGTGGGTCTGGGCACGGTGGCTCATGCCTGTAATCCCAGCACTTTGGGAGCCCAAGGTGGGCAGATCACTTGAGGCCAGGAGTTCAAGCCAGCCTGGCCAAGATGGAGAAACCCCGTCTCTACTAAAAATAGAAAATTAGCTGGTCATGGTGGCGCATGCCTGTAATCCCAGCTACTCGGGAGGCTAAGGTAGAAGAATCGCTTGAACCCGGGAGGTGGAGGTTGCGGTGAGTCGAGATTGTGCCATTGCACTCCAGCCTGGGCAAACAAGAGTGAAACTCCATCTCAAAAATAAATAAATAAATAAATAAATAAACATTAAATTAACAAAAAATGCCAGGAGAAACAGACACAGAGCTACAGTGAACACTGGGAAGAAGGTGACCCAGAACAGTGAGGAGATTAGTCAGATGATTTGCAACTCAGCCCCATCCCTACCACTATTTTAATATTTGTGGCCTAAGTATTTGAACTCTTTGAGCCTTGGTCTCCTCCTTTGCAAATGGAGGGTAAGAATTCCCAAGGCTGTTGTGATTATTAACATGCAGAAGTAACATAAATTGAAAGCATCAGACAAGGGGATAATATTATTACTGTATATATTTGTTATTATTTTTATATAGAGATGAGGTTTCGCAGTGTTGCCCAGGCTGGTTTTGAACTACTGGCCTCAAAGGATCCTCCTGCCTCTGTCTCCCAATTTGCTGGGATTACAGGCATGAGCCACTGTGCCTGGCCCTATTTCTGCATTTAGATACTAATATAGCCAAACATGATGAAGAGATCATTGAGTCATGGATGGTAACAGAGTCTTCTGCCCATTTTTGAAGGATACTTTTTTTAACTTTTCCCATATTAAAGGAAAAGTGATTCCATATCAATGCACTGTTACATTCAAACTTAAATATCACCACATCACCACGTGTATGAATCCTCATTGATATATAGGGTTGTAAAAATAATAGTATAGGAAAACTACAGAAGTTGTGTATTAATTAGCAAATTATGATATAATTGTGGAAATTTTAAAATATAACTTCACCTGGCCTCTTAAAACTGTGTGTGTAAAGTTCTTTTGAAAGCTTTGTTAAGACGTTAGCAAGAGCATTTCTGATTTTTCAAAAAACAAACTAGTCCACATGTATTTGGCAGGTTTACAGCATTATTAATAACTTTACTGTTTGGCAGGGAGGCATCCTAATGAAAAATAATTTCTAAATGGTATAAGACTCCATGATTCCCATCCAATTATTGGTCTGGACCTAAGTATGCTTCTAACTTAGAAAGTGACACTGGGCTTAGTACAACTTCATTCTGTTGTTTGGGTTAAGCGACTTGCTCTCCCTTGGAAGATATCCAGAAGCTACAGCCGGGGCAGAATGTGGGGTCGTTTGGCTACTGTGGATGGAGCTGCAGGGAGCACATTCCATCAGTACTGTGCATTCAATACCGCCTGCCTATTTGCTTCTGAGTGCAATAGTCTATGGTCTATAAAGCACTAAATGGTTGGGTCTTCACCACTGAGAGATCAGTCTTCCTTCCTGGGCAACTTCAGGGCAATTGAGATCAGCTGGTGGTCTGCTGCTCCTAGCTTCCAGCTTCCATCTACAGGGAACCAGAGGCAGGGACTCTTCCAAGGAAAGCCCTCACTTAGGAAACGCCTTGCCTTCCATTAGCCAACAAAGAACTAATCTGGGAATATTTAGAGCATGGCAGGGAGCCCATCTTTTAAGCAGAGTTGAAAAGCAGAAATTTCTGCTCTTTCAAAAGAACAATGCATTCAATGAGAACGCTCTCACATTCATTAAAGCCTCATATTCAAATAATCCAAACAGTACATTTTCTCCTTTCTTCCCTTCAAATCTTGAGTACTTACTGGCTTACTTCTCTAGTTCCTTTGTTTGGCCATTTTCTCACTGCTCTCCTCCCTTGTAGAGGCTAAAAGATTGAATGAGAAAAAGATTTTAATGCTTGTTACTGTTTTTGAAGTTTACAACTTTAGATTTGACCTAATATGAACACCCTTATACATATTCATTTATTTATATATTCACCCTGCAAATATGAATCAAAGCCTGCTATATGCCAGCACATAGATCGATGTTTCAGATATAGTAGAAAACAAATAAACAAAACCCTGGCCTTTGAAGAGGATATGGCTTATTTAGAAAAAGAGAAAATAAACAAATACATATATGTAACATCAAAAGTGTGTAAGCGCTATGAAGAAAAATAAAACAAGAAGGAATGAGAAATTTGACTTTTATATAAAATGATCTGGGATGATGTCCCTGGAGAGGTGATATTTGGCCAGACAGCTAAATGACGTCAGAGGCGTGAGCAATACAAGTATATGGGTGGTCACCAAGTGCAAAGGTGCTAAGGCTGACTCATGCTTGGTATGCTATAGTGAAAAGAAAAGAAGTAGGATTGGTGAGGAATGCAGCCAGGGTTAGGTCACTGAAGACTTTTAGGCGTAGGAACCACATTTCATTTTACTCTAAATGTGATGGGAGATGTTATACGGTTTCCAGTAGGAATGCTGCTCTGATCTGTGATGAAAATGATCTCTGAAGAATAGTCTCTAAAGGTGAGACAGAACTATAGCCCATCAGGGTCAACAAGGTGAGAAGGAATGGTCCCGTTGGTCCTGGGTGCTGAGTAGTGAGATTCCGGATGTATTTTAAAGGAATACTCAACTAGATTTGCTGATGGATAGGATGCAAGATTTGAGGGAAAGGAAAGAATAAAGGATGACTCCAAACGTTTTGTCAGAAAGTTAATTAATAGATATTCTTTGGAGAACTGTTAGGCAGTTTTACATAGATGTACTAGGAGCTAAGTAATTTCAACCTATAACAATGCTTACAAAAGAGAAATTAGGAGTTACCATTATCCAATTTGCAATAGGAATGACCATACAGTTTCTTTTAATAGCAAGATCCTTTAGTACAGTTAAAGTGTGATTCAATTATTATAAAATCCATATAGAAAGAATTATTTGGGAACATAAGTAAAATCCACCTGCATTTAGTGTTGGGAGAGAATGGCCCAAGGCGTGGCCTCCCCTGCCATCTAAGGGCACAACATTAAGGTGATCACGCATAACTGTTGGCCGAAGGACAAGATGTCTACTGCCTTGGCACAAGTGACACTCACACTTCTTTGCATTCTTGAAAGTGTCTTAGTTTGGACAGTAAATTACATGCTTACCCCTACAACATAATCTAAATATGAGAAATCAACTCAGCAGCTTAAATTATTTACCATGCAAAAAGTTAGAAAACCTGGAGACATTAATCTAAGAAGAAATTGGAGGCAAACCATCCCTCCCTGCAGAACTTGATGCCACCAATGAAGATAGCAGGATGACAAAGAATGGCATCTCATGTCTACGTGTGTTTATAGCTGATATAAATTTTACCCTATACTACGTGCTGGATATTCAGATCCGAGTCTACAGTACATGGTTTATATTCCTGATGACTTCAGATTCCTCCTCCAAATCACCCCAGTCACCCTAGAATATATTCTTCTATTTTCCACCGGCTACCACTGGATCCCAAACAAATGAGGTAATTCTATCCAATAAGAACAATATAGTTGTATTAACAAGGGCAGAAAATTTAAGCCTCTTGGAGATTTTACCTAAGGGGCAAGACCACCAAGATAGGCCTACTGGACCTTTAAGTTGTTAAAAATAATTAACAAACAAGCAAACAAATAAATAAAATCACTGGCCCTGGTCTGTGAAGGGCAGTAACCGGTGCCCATGTACTCTGTGGGTTTTCAAACCCTAGTCTCATTACCTGCATTCCTGCTTCAGACTCTGGCTTCTCTGAACGTAGCCAAGTCTAATGCTACCCTTCCTTGATGCTGAGCTGTGCTTTGAGCCCCGTCAGTAAACCATGAATGACATCCCCTTGCTCAATAATTCCCAGAAAAGGGAGTGGTGTATGCCAAGACACGAATGATTATATTATTATTATTATTACTACCACCACTACTATTACAACTACTGCTTACAGGATGATGATGATGGTAAGATTGTAGTCATAGCTACAATAATCCTATCATCATCAACAACAATTTTGATAGCTGTATACAGTGGAAGAAATAAAAAGAAGTGAGTGATTCAGTTTTTGGCCCTAAAAAGCTATAATGTGCAAATTAGTCACTGCTCATTATATTTGATTGATTCCCATTCTTTAATGTAAGGGAATTAAAAATTATAATTAAGGCTTAGAAAGGTCTCGTTTTTAGACCAGTAATATTACGTGACATTTTGCCTTTCAGCTTGGGATTTCGGGAAGTTTATAAATATTACCTTGATAAACTTCACAAAAACTCTCTCAGGTTGTATGCATAAAACTAATTTACTGATAGTTAATGAAGAAAAAAAGCATACATCAAGATCAAATGATCGGCCCCAGTCAAAAATGGCTTTTCTACTCTTGTCTTTCCTCTTGAGTATAATGGAAAAATTCACCAACACACACAAGATTCTGTGAAGTTTTTCATAAGCATTACACTATTTATCTCAACATAAAAGGGTAAAGCAAGCACAATGTGTTCTAGTAAATAGCTTTCAGGTTAAAATAGTTAGGCTTACAAAATTCAAAGCACTTTCCTCTAGTCTTCCAACTATTTTATCACCAAGCACAGTATTCTTTCTACTGTTGGAGGGAGAGCAAACCATGGGGTATACAAGAGAGACAACTCAACACAACTGTTCTAACATAAAGAAGGTTTTCTACGACTCTCAGTCTAACAAGAAACTAATCATCTATTGTAACTAATTTTCAATAGTGAAGGTTATCTGGAAGGCAGTCCATGCATTTTATTTTTGGCCATTGAATTTTATTCTAAAGTAGCATTGGGAAATTCCATAAGTAAAAGCACCCTGAGGTTAATCCATTTTGTATAACGTGGGAGACTTTTAATAAGGCAAACACTGGTTCCCAACTTTATCAGCTTCAATAGTGGGTTTTTATATACTCAGTTGTCCACAAAACAGAGTGTACTTGTCCACCTGTACTTTATTTATTTTGATACTATTTCAACTCATTCAGAATAAGTCCCTTTCATAGTGTATATTACCCACAGCACAGGTAGCAGAAGATAAAACGACCATGTTGCAATTGATTATAGACTCATTTTCCCTTTCCATGTGGCACTCCTTCTAGGCCTGTTCATACTCCAGACCATCTGCTCCCCTTCCCTGCTACCAAATCCCAGGCCTCATCTGCCTTTAGAAGCAATGGGGTAAAACATCCCTTCTAATTTATTGATATCTGTGGATGCTCAGAGGGTGACCTCTTATCAAGATAGGTGGGGTTTCATGACACATTTCTAAAAGCCTAAAATTAACTCAGATGTCTTGGTCTCCAGTTAGCCTCATGTTCTATGTGAGCTTCAACGAGCATCTAGGTTTCTAGAGCATCCTTGATATTTCGCCTGTTAACAGTAGAGGGTACCCCTCAGCAGGGATGCAACTTGTGTCAGATACTGCTGTAACCATTTTACATAGATCACCTCGTTTACAGTCACAATCCAGAGTAGCAGTATTACTATTTTATCAATGAGTATTAGATAAGTAATTTGCCCAAAGCCACCCAGGTAGTAATTGGTGAAGCTGAGATTTAAAACCTAGTTTATCTGGCTGGATGCGGTGACTCATGCCTATAATCCCAGCATTTTGGGAGGCTGAGGCAGGCGAATCACGAGGTCAGGAGTTCAAGGCCAGCCTGGCCAACATGGTGAAACCCCATCTCTACTAAAAATACAGAAATTAGCCAGGCATGGTGGCACGCACCTTAGCTCCAGCTACTTGGGAGGCTGAGGCAGAAGAATCACTTGAACCCAGGAGGCAGAGGTTGCAGTGAGCCGAGATCACACCACTGCACCCCAGCCTTGGTGACAGAGCAAGATTGCATCAAAAAAAAAAAAAAAAGAACCTAGTTTATCTGACTTCATGCTTTTAAACACTGGCTGGTCCATAAGTTTTATCTACTATATTATATTCTCTCACGGAAAATAATTTCCTACTTCTTAAAAGTTATTTTAAAAGCAATTATACTTATAAGAAAAATTGGAAACCATTAGGTTTCACCAAGGAAAGTGAACATTTTATTTCTAATTATTGTCCTGTAACAAAAATAATAGTGCTACACGTTTGAATGGTGCTTTGCAGTATATACAGCTCTTCCATGTTTACTACCTTGTTCAACTATTACAGCCATATGAAGTAAGGTATATTGACTCCATTTTACAGATGAGAAATTGAGGCTAGGAGAGATGGATTGACTTCAATAAGGACCCCCAACCAGTGTTCTGTAGAATCAGAATGCAAACTCTCAACCTCTAAAATGTAACTAATATGAATTCCAATATACTACAGTTGACTTCCATTAAGCAACCTAAAAATATTGGAATTACAAAATAGGGGATTTATACTCTGCAAATCTTTCCAAAATGGAAGATGGTACTTTTTAAAGATTGCTTAATGGACAGGGGAATTTCCAATTTGACACCAACTCATGACTAATTTCCATAAATTATAGCCTTCATTTGATACTTACCAAGTATTAGCAAGTATACGAGTCTTGACCAACAGAGTCAAATGCTTTGCTATTTTAACATTACAATTTGTGCTACAATATAATAGATATAGGAGACGGGAATCATAAATGCATTCTGGACAACTTCTTTTCCATGTCCTGCCTCCAGAGTTAGGTAACAAACAGCAACTTTTCCTAGTGGTGCGGACTTGTATGAAAAGCTGATGCTTCCCATTAGAATGAAGCATCCCCGGCATTTATGAGGCACGTGATCCACATGTCTGAGGACCGCCTTACCCACCAACCCAGTTCTTCGTGACCTCTCCTCCTTCCTCCACACCCCAGTCTGGACCACCTGCTGCACTTTCAGGCAGAGTTGCTCCAGAAGAGGCTGATGTCCTTCCTGCCCACTGATGTTGTTGTTTCATTCCCTAACCCCTTCCTAATCGTCCGCCTCCCTGAGAGGCCAGCCTCAGGCTTCGGCACTGCTTTTGACATGCTCACAGAGGCAGGAGTTGTGGCAGTGCCTGCTCCCAGATTCACCCCATTCTGAAACATAACCCCAGTCCCTGGCCTGTCCTACAGATTGGTAGCATCCTTCCTAGGAAAGAGTCCTCCCTCTGCAGTGTTTTATACCAATGTAAAATGAGAAGGCACAGAAGCAATTCAGAAACACTGAAATACCGAGAGGAGTTCCTATCCATGGGAATTTCGCAAATGAAGTGGAATGAGCGGAGAGAAAGTTTAGTCCACATAAAATAATGCACAGTTCCCATCCTAAAAGGCGTCATTCTAACGACTTTAGAGAAATAAGAGAACACAATTGAGTAAATGGGAGAGGTGAGAAAATGGGTTGAATGAAGCAAAGAAGAGAGAAGAGATCAAATGTGTGCAGCGTATGATTATTGTCATGTTTGCTATGTGCAGGCAGTGTGCTAGGTTTATGTATAAATATATGTATATTGTCATGTCATTGTCATCCCCCATGAGGGTAGTTACTACTGTTTAGTGCATTTTGAAGACAAGGAAATCAAAGCATAGAGAACTTTAAAACCTTTAGGAAGAGGCAGAGTCTGGGTCAAACCTGGCAGTCTGGCACCCAACTGTGGTCACACCACTCAATGAAGCCTCTCCAGGAAGAGTCTGAGAAAAAGCAAAGGATAGTGTCATGTTGGGGGCCACAGAGAGATGGAACAGACTGCGACAGATAGTGACGTGGCAGAGGAGGCTTTAAAGGCAAAATAAGGCCATGCCACGAGGTGCTTCAGAGCCAAACAGATGAGGGGACTAGATTTTAAAAGCTGCTGGGAAACTCACTTTAAGTGCATAGTGTAGTGATCTGATCCAAGGAATCTTTGGGGAGATTAACTGTTCAGAGATTGAAATAGAAGCCTGAGGGGGTAATCCTGATTTTAGATATTTTTTAAGCATAAGGAGTTAACTGGGCTTTTGTATTTCCATATCACAGAGCAATGTGTGTAGATGCCAGTGATCTTAAGATTGTTAAAAGCTGCTGAAGTTCATTCCTTCCTCTTCCCTTCTCTCTATCCTTTTTTTCCTTTAAGAATCCACTGGCAGCATGAAAAGATAATTCTGTGTCTCTTACCATAACTAATTTCTGAAGTAGTTCAGAATAATTTTCTTCTCCCACCGGGGCACATACGGAATTCTGTCACTCTGATAACCCCCGTCTCCTGCCCTGTGGATCTCAGTGTTGTCACGTAACTCGTCTGGCTACCTCAAGCTTCTTAGCAACTGAATCATCCTCCTTACTGACTCTTCTCCCAATTGCACAGATGCAAAGCTCTAAGTCATCTATGATACATATGATATCCAAACATGAAATCATTTCCACATTTCTCCCACAACATATAGCTCCTTTTCCTTCTGGCAGTCACTTGTCTCAGGAGACCTATATTACTCTGTGTCTGAATTATTGTGTTATCTTTCCATCAGATCTCCCTATCTCTACTGTCTTCCTTCCTTTCATTCTACACATTAGACCAGAATATTCTTTATTAAACAGATTTTGCTCATATTTATCTTATTTGGAATTCCTATGGCCAAAAGTGTCACAATTCTAACTCAAGTTCACTTAAGGAAAATAAAAATGTGAGAAGGCAGTACAGTTTCACTTGGGGCTTAAAAAATGAGAATTACTGGTAGAGATTTGGCTTACTGTGCATCTGAATGCAGGTGTTCAAGTGTTATCATAAAAATTTTGATTGCCTCCTTCTCTAGGTTCCTTGAGCTTGATTCTCAGGTCTGCTATCTTCCAGGTGACAGCAAGATAACTACCAAAATCCCAGGTTTAATTTCTACTAGTTCATCAACTTCTGTGAAAAGAGAAATTCTGTTTTAAATAATTTCTGTAAAATCCCGATTGCATCTTATTATCCTGGTTTGATTCATGTGGACATTCCTGGTACAATTGTAGCAAAAGAAACAAAAATGCAGGATGATCAATATGGGTCACATACATGCTCTCCTCTAGATGCGATGGGTGCCATTATTATACTACATTAACTGAGTAGCAGAGGAGTGCTTCCCCAGTGGGAAATGAGGGTGCTTTCACCAGAATGTGAGGGAATGGGTGCTAGAATTATTGTTTTTTATCCAGACAAAACCCAACAAATATCAATTATAATATGCACACCATACAACTCAAAAACCTACAAGAATTTTTATTGCCATAGAGTAAGTTAAGTAATATCATAAAATTGCAAAGCTAAAAAGGACTTTGAAGTTCATCTTATCCAGTCAACTTCAGAGAAATACACTGAAAACAAGTAACAGAGCCAAGCCTGGGACTCATATTTTACATCCTAAAGCATTCTTTTAACAGTTTCCTGAGTGGAAATTCAAGCTGCTCTTCAAGTACTCTTCATAAACTGCATACATTTTACCTACCTTCCTTACCTTTCATTGGTTCCCGAGAATTCTAGGCCAGGTGAACTTACCTTCTCAATATCCCTGAAGGTGCTTTGCTTATTTTTACCTTTGTACCTTTGCTTCTATTTTCTAGTCATTGTTAACTCATGTCTTTTTCATTTATCCCAACCCAAGGCATATCTAAGACCCAACTCAAGTTTTACTTCTCCATTAGCCATCACTGGGCTTGTTTTCCATTGCACCGAGAAAACTGAAGGAATCAGATGGGAGTTTACACACGCTCCAATCACATCGCCTTTTCACCTACTTACATTTGCCCCCTCGTGTGCCATGTTTTTTCCCATTTCTACAGATCCAAGCTCCCAGTTGAAGCCAAGCCCTCCACTCATACACAGAATTCCATCCTTTCATCTACTCAAAGACATATCTTAGCAATTCTCCTTTATCATTAGTATTTGTCTTTCTAGAGGATTACCACCATCCTTATCAAAATTGTCATTATTTCTTCAATCTTATAATACCTCTTTGACCTCATTTTCCTCTTCTCTTATTCTGTAAGAAAAACTCAACCTGACAGTTGTCTGTCTACACTGGCTATCTCTAGTTCCTCTTCTCCCATTCTAACTTTGCCAATCCCAGTAAGCTTTGTGCTTCCACCATGCCAGCAAAAATGGTCTTATCAAGGTTGCAGTGTAAGGTAGAATAACCTAGGCTGCAGTGAAAAATAAACCTGAATATGTAAGTCCATGTTTTTCACTGTTGTTATTACAAGTCCAGTTTGAGTGGGGGAACAGGTTGCCAAAGTATTTTCTCTCCTTTTGATCATTCAAGGACCCAAGCAGCTGAAGACTGTGTCATCTGACATGTTTTCCAAGGTCACCGGTGGCATTTTACCCCTATCATCTGGATGTAGGAAAGACAGGGGAGTTACAGCTGGGTGGTTTGTATGGGCGAGGCCTGGAATGAGTACACAGTACATCCATTCATTTCATTGTTCAAAGCACAAGCTGACGGCCACACTGAAGCCCCAGGGAAGGCTGAGGACTATAGTCTAGCTCTGTATCCAGGAAAAAGAGGAAGTGCACTTGGTTGACTACATTTGCTTTGTTAAATAGAAGAGACTGCTTTCATCACCCGTGTTCCTTGAACTCTCAGCAGCATTTGACACTTTAGAGCAGGCTTACTTATTTAAATCTCTTTCTGCTCTTGGCTTCCAGGACATCACACCCACACAGCGTGCCTCCTGCCTCTCCAAATGCTCTTTCCAAGGCCCTTTGCTTATTCCTCCACCATTCTCACTTTCAGACATTGGATTGTTTGCTATGCTCAATGTTGGATCTCTATTCTTGTCAGTCTATTTTCCCATTCCTGTTGGTTTTATCCAGTGGCATGGGTTCTAAATGCTGACAACTCCCGGCTGATTGATAAGATTGGTTGTATTGCAATCCTAGGCCTCTTCTAGTCCAGTCTTGTATGTCCAGCTACCTATTCAACATGTCCACTTGAACAGCTAGCTGACAACCTTAGCAGAGGCAAAACTGAAATCTGAAAACCCTTACCCCTGCTGCATTCAACCTGCTCCTTCCCCAGTCTTCCCTAATTGGTTAAAGATATCTTGATTTATCTAGTTTTCTAGTTGCCTAGATCAAAAATCTTGGCTTCATCCTTGATACTTCTTTTTCTCTCATCCTACAAGCAATTAGTCAGCAAAATATTTTGGTTCTATGTTCCAAAATACATTCAGAATCTGAAAACTTCTCATCACTTCACAGCTACCACCCTACTCCAAACCACCATCATCAGTTCCCTGGCGTAACAGTGTAGCTTCTTGGTTGGTCTTCCTGGATTGTGTTTTCTTGAACCCAATGTCATTCTCAACACACCACCCAGAGTAATCCTGCCAAAGTAGGAGTCAGTGCATGCCACTTTTCTGCTTAAATCCCTCCAAAGACATCTAGTTTTAAGTAAAAGTCAACATTTGTACTAGAACCAGCACGCCACTCCATGATAAGCACCAATATTCTCTGCCCTCATCTTCAAATAGTCTCTCCCTTGTTCACTCACTGCCATTTTAGTTTGTTTTGTTTTTTTAGTTTGTTAGTTTTATTTTCTTTTGTTTTTTAGCACTCCAGGGAAGCCTCCATCTCAAGGCTTCTGTGTGTGCTCTGAGCCCCACCTATTCATGTGGCTCACTCTGTCACTTCATGTAGGTCTTTTGTCAAATAATGCCTTCTCAGGGAAAACTTTCCTAGCCATCCGTCGAAAAATCATATTTCTCCCTAACTATTTTTATTACCCTTGCCTGCATTATATTCTTTTCTTGGCAAGTATTGCTATCTAACATTATACATACATACATACATATATATATATATATATATATATATATATATATATATATCCCTTCAACTGAAAACTATATATGGCTTGGCTTTTTTTTTAACTTCAGTATTCCCAGCATCTAGACAAGTGCCAGATACAATTTACATTTGTGCTGACTGAATGAGTGAATGAACTACTCTAAATCACAGTGATTCCTACTTCCTCTGAACTTCTGTAGCGCCGTATCATTCATTTGGAATTTACTCATAGTCTGCCTTTTTTTAACTTTTCATGAGAAAATATCTTGGATTCACAATTAGATCATAAACTCATTATATACAGAAAGTATGGATATGACTTTTTTCAGCCCGCATGCCTAATTCAGAGGTGAATGAATAAATGAATGAATGAATTATAGGAAGTTCACCAGATGGGTACAGTACAATTGGTGGATGATGGACTGTGGAGGCCAAGATGTAAAGGGGACTGAAATCTAAAAAGGATAACTTAAAATTGCAGATTCAGGTAAAGGTGTTAGAGGCACTCAATAAGGCGAGGCAAGCTGAGAAGTGCACTATGTCATTGGAATGAAATGTAGCTGGCCCTGACGAAACCAGTACTGAATCCACGTGCCAGCTTCTCTCACTCAAGCCTTCCTGTTTGTCAGAACTATATTTGGCAGATGCCAGACACCATTCTGTTAATTTTAAAAAATGGAAACAATCTATGCGATTGAGACAAATAACAGACCCCAGATAGATGGTGCTCTTTTCTCTGTGACACAAAGGTTCCCACTGAATCAATTCTTCTATGTCGAAGGGTTAGGCAATGTGATTCTGAAACAAAATATAAACTTAGACTGGCTAATTTCCAAGTGCCCCACACTAGAAAAATGAAAGTTAAAGTGCAATCCTGGAATATTTTACACTCAAGAAATTATATATATATTATTGGATGTTGTGTGTATGTAGGTACATACATATATATGCAAATACATATACATATTATTGGATGTTGTGAGTGTATACATATATACACATGCATATATATATTATTGGGTGTTATGCATATATAGTATACATATGTATATCGTATACATATGTACTATATATGTATATATGTACTATATATACATATGTATTATATACATATATACAATACTGTAAAAATATATTACAATATTGGCTGAGATTGATTTATTTGTGTTGAGTCCCATACCCAGGCTAGCTCATCTCTTTCCTCCTATTTGGTTTAGCAAACTGTCCAGGGGAGAAGATATGTATGCATATATGGGTGTGAGTTGGAAGGGGTGGGTTAGAGGGTCTGTGTCTGTGAGTACGTGGAAGAATGGACAAAATCAAGAAACAGTGTTTATGTTCTTAGCATGCCAAAGCCTAGGTTACACTGAGAAGAGTTGGTTTGTTCTGATGAAGCTGCTCAGCACAGTGGTATAGACAGGCTGGTGGAAACCTCTTCAGAAGGAAAGACGAAGCCAGGAAAGGGAGAGGGATGGAGAGGTGTTGTGATGAGAAATCAGAAGTACGCTTTGTGAGAATAGGAAGCTCAGGGATGCATTACAGGAGGGCTGATGATATGTTCTAGCATGCTGAGCTGTGAGTTCTGCGGCTGCTCACACCTACCACGTCTCCCATAGGGTGAACATCCTCAGTGTGTACAGCACTGCTCCAGTCATCTGCCTCCTATGCTAGGCTGCTATTGAAGATCACTGCTAGGTTTGACTGTGAAAGCAAAGAATTTTAACATCAAAAGAGAGTCCAAAAGTGAGACTTCCTAACTTCCTACTTGATGTATGTTAAAACATATGCTGTCACTAAATCAGCACCACTTTTAAGTTCTCTAATTTATCTTCCCCCCATTCTCGGGGACCTCTTCATGGACGGCTTTGCAAAGTGTCAACCTACATGAAGCTGCCTTGCACCCAGATGGGCTCTCACATCATCATCACATTCTAACGTTGCTGTTGATCCTGAGTTGCTTTCAGTGTTCTCCTGAAATTCCATCACTTTCATGCACCCCTCAGACTTCCAAATTCACCTCTTGCCTTCATTTTCATACTTAACATGCCTTCTGAAACTATGTCATGTAGACTGTTGTCATTAGGGGTAAGGAGTAGCTCTATTTCTGAGGAAATTATGGTGTGCGTCACTCTCAGAGTTATTGGCTCCACCTTCAGATCATCATTTCCAAGAATCAGGCTCATTATTGAATGCGCTATTCAACATCATGATTATGCCCCTATTCTTTCCAAATCAATTTCTCTTCAGCTTCTGTTAACTGTAGAGGGTTCTTATGTCTCTCTACTCAGATGACTCTCCTCCTCCTCACAGTTCTCATCTGAAAACACGAATTTTCTATCTTTTCTTTGCCTCTTACTGCCTCTCCCTTCTGTTATTTAACTTTACAATTGTATTACTTAACTCTGTCAAGTATCTTGACATACAGCTTGCACAAAAGCTGCTACCCATTTAAAAGCTCATCTTATTGTTGGAAGACTCCTCCTACATGAAAGATCTGTGGTTCTGCTTTGTGTATCAGCAGGTTCATAATAATTTCCATGGATAAAGGAAACAATAAATTTAACAAAACCCAGTGCTAGATCTTTTGATGACGCATGTAGGTCAACTTAAGGATGTTTACATATTATACGTATATAAGCACAGACACCTCTAAATGCACGACAGACAACACTCAGAAGAGTGTCTGCTATGAAAAAACATATATTTTATGGAAGGATCTGTAATCTATTATAAAATTGTTGTATACTGAGTCATTATGATATAGATAAGAAAAGATAATGGGAAAGAAACACACCTGAATTCACTTATGTTCCATTTGGCCCTTAGCCATATGAGTGTCCAATCAAGACCACCATGCTGTTTTCACACCATTTGTAGGATTGTAAGTCAGTGCAGGTGACACTGGTTCACTGCCACTCCAACCCTGCCTTGATCATAGCTCTTTTTACCCATGCTTTGAGGCATTCAGACTCAGCTCTGAGTCACTGAAGCAAAATTGGAGCATCTGGGTAGAGTCTCAAAACAGCAGAGCTTACATCAATGAGACACCTCAGTGGCTTAGTGAAACCCAAACTACAAATGCTACATCAGTGGCTGTTGAGAAGCTATAGATTCTCTTCTATTAGGACCTAGACACAAGAACTCGTGAAAACTAGTTGGAAACCCACAATGACTTAGTATATCATTTTCCCTGTGATCTTAACTGAGTTTCTAAATACACGTTGATGCTAGTTGCAAATACAATTCCACTCCTTAAAAATTCTCAATTATTGTATTAATCTTCTGGTTGTTTTCCTCAGTGTACATGCAATCATATTGACAGCTTGAACTGCTTTGTAGTATGTGGAATAGTGCTTTTTAAAAACAAAGAAAAAAGGTAGATTTATGATATGCTCCAGTTTCATCTTTGGAAATAAGAATTAATGTTATTATTCTTATTTATCATTCACCAATGATATAAATGTATATTATTCAATCATAAATTATATAATCATGTTTTTTCTGTTTGTCCAATTAAGTGGCCTGAGTAAAATCATATAATCTTAGGTTTTGTTGTTGTTATTAATTTGCAGGCTGGTGATGGAATTTCATTCTTTTGACTTCTAGATTGCCTGTAAGTAAATATTTGACCTTTTCTTAAAATTGAGAACTGATAAAATACTCCATGTTTATTTTTACTTTTTTACATAAAGCACAAAAATGATTCTAAGAGAAATATTTTTCCTTAAATATTCTGTATCTTTGCAGAAACTTACTTGTTCATTTTACAAATTTGCTTTATAGAAATATTCCTGAACATCAGTGTCAAGAAAGTAACCCTCTAAATGCTTTGTGACTAACTCCTGAAAATCTTATAATAAGTAATATAATTAATTATGAATACTATTACTGTAAATTAAATACTAAATGAATTCAGGCCCGAAAACCTAAAATAATAGGTAACATGTTTTCTTCTTGTATCTGCATGCCAATTCACTTGCTATTCACTGAAATTCTACTGATCAAGAATGTCTCTCAGATTTATGTGGACAGTATATGAACGCTTAGGATCGTTATTTTATTTTATTTTTATTTCTTTATATTAAGATGGAATCTCGCTTCATCACCCAGGCTGGAGTGCAGTGGTGCAATCTCAGCTCACTGCAACCTCCGCCTCCTGGGTTCAAGTGATTCTCCTGCCTTAGCCTCCAGAGTAGCTGGGATTACAGGCACGCACCACCACGCCCAGCTAATTTTTAGGAGAGATGGGATTTCACCATGTTGGCCAGGCTGGTCTTGAACTCCTGACCTCAAGTGATCTACCTGCCTTGGCTTCCCAAAGTGCTGGAATTACAGGCATGAGCCACCACGCCAGGCCAGGATCACTATTTTAATATGATAATCATTAATGTACATACTAAATTAGCTATTTAGAATCCAACTAGATCAATACGATTTTAAAGACAAAAACTACGTGATGTTCAAGTGAATCACTGAGGTTACTGTTCACTCAATCCACCCATCCCCCCCAGTTCCTGAAATGTTGTACAAATTGCTTTAAGGTTGAACGTTGATGGCATGTGTTCATGTGATGTGGGTATAATCAATTGTGTATGTATGTTGTACTAATTGCTCATGTGGCTGCTGCTCAGTGCTGTCCTTTAAATAGTGACCTCTGTTAGGAAACCTTTCCAGAGATGGGAAGAGAAGCAAATCATTACAGCCTTTATGGTTTTCCCTGTTTCCTTTGGTCATGTTTTGCCTCCCACTGGTGATCCTGGAAGATGGTAAAAATGAGGTCTTACATTCGAGAAACATTAGGATTCTATTAAACGACTGTTGGTTTTTTTCCCAGCTTTATGGAGAAAACTAAATGGAATCGACTAACTGTATTTATATTAGGCTTTGGTTATTTTTAGCGTTCAGGATACTCTCCCCTGCTCTGCTCTAGATTGGCCTTGTTTCATTATTTGTGTGCCGGGAGCAACTTGAACTTGTATCTCATGGGGTATATTTGTTACTTCAAATTCAATTGAATGAGTGCTGGGGAGATCAAGCTCTTCTGAAAGGTGTGGGTGGCTGTGGAGGAAGATCAGAGGGCCTTGGTAGTAGAGATTGTCTGTGGTCATAACATTTCACTATTTCACTGTTCATGTGCGTTCTAATTTTCTACGATGAATGTCCATGGGAATAACAACTTCAGTATATTAATAAAGTGTGATTTTTTTTCTGGCATCACAGCTCACTTTGAAGCATAAATGTGTAGGTTTTCATACACATTTTCTAGAAAAGCATTGAGCTTGGGTAAATTAACACATTACAATTGAACCAGACTCAGTATCAGGTTCGTAAAACACGCTGGGGCATCCCTATCATGGAAGAGTCTACAATAACATCTACAAGCATATTTTGGCAATAAAGGAGAGGACAAAATAAGTTGGCAATAAGTCAGCATGCTCTCAAGTTGACACAATTATTGCAACTGAGGATGGGCAGAAATACAACACTCTTTAAAACAAGTAGGTTCTTTTTAGAAGGAGGTAAAACAAGTTAAGAAACATACAATTTGACATGTCATTATTGTGAATTAATTTCCTAGTCATTGTAGGTGTACTGCAACAGTTCTGATTGTGATGAATTTGTTTGGAATTTATGTAGTCCAAAAATTTATTTTTAGAAGTGTTTGTGACTTTAAACTAATTAAGCAATTTCCTGATTTTAATGAATTTTCTGCTTGGAATCACTGACTGTAAATTTGTGAGACCAACTGAATGAGACTGGCCCATGGAGGGTGATGTTAACTATCCCTGTGAGCATTTCATGTTATGAGTTTGTGTTTGTAATGCCTGCCTGCCTTCAGTCAGTGGGATATTATTTTGAATGTTTTGCTTAAATATTAAGGCCTGTTCTATCTTCGGTAAAATTGTCTCTTGTCAATTTGTGCTTTAAGGAACAACCCAAAAATGTCTCCACTGTTTTTCTGCTAGCTGAACTACTTTTCTCCCCCACATTTGGGGAGAGTTATTTCAGGTTATGTTCAGTTAATTTTCTTCCAATGGTTTCTCCAAAGTGAATCATACGCAAAGATGCTCCAGGTGAGCTAACTACTATTTCATACGTGGACTAGGGTTAAAGTTCCTGATACGAGCACCTCCCTGTCACTTTCACTCTCATTTGGGCCTATTCACAAGAAGTCTGATCTCCTACCTTATCAGACCACTAGTAAGGTTTGAGCTTGACAAACAGTGTTATACTAATATACCCTTAATATGCTGCTTCCTCTTTCTGGAACACTGTTTCTCTGCCTTTGCCTCTGTTCACATCACACTCATCTTTCAAGTCTTCAGCAAATACTAGGCTTCTCCCATGAAGCCTGACCTGATGCCTCCCATCAGTGTTAATATAGGCCTAAAGTATAAAAGGTTCTGAGGCCATTTACTATATCACTGATGGTTCACCTTTTGTTGGGATTTGTTTATTCCTTTTTAATTCATCGAATTATATTTTCAGTACTGTGAGAAAAATCTAATAGGTTGCCCTTCATACAGTAGATGCTCAATAAATATTTACATTAGTATTTCAGTTGTTGCCCTAACAGTAGTTTTAAAACCTCTCATGCTTTAAATACTGAAAGATTTAGAGAGGTCCTATCTGTTTATTCTAAATACTTATAGGCTATTTGTTTCTACATTCTCATTTGATATTTGTTTGTTTAGCTTGATGTTGTTCCTTGATACTTTTCTACTCCCAGTGCATCAGAAAAATGTAATAATTAATTTGGACCTTGATAAAATGGCCTACATCAAACGTTTCACTCATTGATTTATTCATTAATTGTGGGAACACTGAGATGCATTTGATCTAGAACTTATATTCTTTTTAAGGAGTCCTTAGATGTGATATAATCTAAGATAAAAATGAGAAATCATGAACTTTAAGTCCCCAGATAAGGGAGCAGTTACTCTTTTAGAGGGAAGTGCAGCATCTTGATGCAGATGTTGCATATTTTATTTCTTATTAAAAGAGATGTAACAGTTTTTCAGACAAAGAATGAGTTTAATATTTTCTTGATCACTTACTAAATGCCAGACATTGTTGTAAGCACTTTAGCTATATTAACTAATTTAATAGTTATTGTTATCATTTCATAGTTATTATTCATGTTTTATTCTATCAAAGGGGACAGGCACAGAATAGCTACATATTTACCCTAGACTATGTATCAATAGTAAGACAGTAATAGTGTCAGGATTCAAATTTAGGCAATCTGGTTCAAAAGCCCAAGCTCCAGATTGCTTTTAAGAATGATGACTCTAATGACTTTGTAGAGAATGGGTTATAGAGGGGAGTGGGGCTGGCAAGAAGAGCAGGGAAAGGAAGTTCTTGCAATTTTCTAGTAGGATAGTTAGGGAATACATTGAGGACATAGTATAGGGATGCAGAAGAGTAGGAAAGTTTGACAAAGCTTTGTGGGAATGGGGAAGCAGGTGCTGGTAGGGTCTGGTGATTAATTGGCTGTGTGGGGGGGAGAAAAAGAAGTCAAGAATGTATGTTTCTAATCTTCCAGCTTAGATGAAAAAGGATGTTATATCATTAGCCAGATCCAGAATAAAGGAATAGGCACTCATCTTAGGAACAAAATACCTACTGGATTTAATTGTAGACATAAAGTTTTGTCACAGTGGAAATATCCAGGGAGCAGTTGAAAGGATGAGCCTGAAGCCTGATGCTTTGGAGAGACAGTGAGCTGGAGAAACACAGGGCTAGGGGTTATTAGGAGAGTGTGGCCCAGGAGCTCTGGGGGGAATTGGAGAGCACAGGGGTAGATGCCTCATGTAGCAGGAGAGGAGGACCTAAGAGGCCTCGATTACAGCAAGGCAAGCAGAAGAGGAGGAAGTTGCTGAGGTCTGAGAGAAGGCAGAGGAATAGCAAAAAAGCTTGAGTTTTGGGAATGGATGGGAGAACAAAAATTTAAGAACTAAGTGAGGCTGGGTATGGTGGCTCATGCCTGTAATCCCAGCACTTTGGGAGGCTAAGGTGGGAAGATTGCTTGAGGTCAGGAGTTCAAGACCAGCCTGGGCAACATAGCGAGGCCCCATCTCAACAAAATATTTTTTAAAATTATCTGCGTGAGGTGGTGCACACCTGTAGTCCCAGCTACTTGGGAGGCTGAGGTGGGAGGCTGAGGTGGGAGGATTGCTTGAGCCCAGGAGTTCAAGGCTGCAAGGAGCTCCACTGGTCTACAGAGCTATGATGGTGCCACTGGGCCACAGAGCAAGACCCTGTCTTTAAAAAAATTTAAAAAAAGAAAGAATTAAAGTGAATAATGGAGTCAAATACAGGCTTTACTAGGACTAAAAGTGGCCACTGGACTCTGCAGTTAACAGCTCTTTGAATAAAATTGTGGGGCGGAAACCAAAAATGAGTAAAACTGAGGCAAATGAAGACTAAATATAGAACATCTCTCAAAATTTTTGCAGAGTGGTATCTTGTGTCAAATGAAGAATTTGTTGTTTTTTGTATTGTTTTGTTGTTTTAGGGTAAAAGAGTCTTGAATATTTTGAGGACATAGAAGAAAGACGCTGTAGAAAGGAAAGATGAAAGATATTAGGGAAGAGAGTCAGGGCTTGGACAAGAGAGAATGATATATGAATCAATGTAGAAAGCAAGTCTTCAATTTTATTTGGAGGGGATAATTCTTGTTGTGTAATTAGAGATCAGGCATTTAGATTAGGGTACCTGCAGGTAGGTTTGAAGGTAGACAACATCCCTGTAATGGATTGCATTCTATTTAGAGATCAAGTTCCTCTGTAAAGAATTGTAAGGACAGGGTTGAAGCTTGAAGTTAGAAGCTATGCTAAGAAAATGCAAAAGGTTGATTAATAAGAATAAAAAAAAATTCCAGGTTATCACAAAAGCTCTATTGAGGTTGGAAACCATATACTGGTAATGGGATCACTTTACCTGTTTATGTGATTTTCTTTGGCAATTATTAATTGGGCTTTTTTTTTTTAGGAAAGAGAGACATGCTTGGCTTACCTTGAGTAACAGGGGTTTATTGTAAATAAATGAATGTGAGGTTTTAATCCCTAGATGATGAGCCTTCATGAAGTCCAGAATGTAACTGGAAGTCATTCAGAGTTACCCAGTATACCACAAATCTCTAGTAATATTTTGCCCTAGCACCTAGCACCAAGCACCAATCATTGGCGTCCAAATCTGTTTTAATTATTCTTTTTTCTTCAGCTGCAGATGTGCAAATGAATAGTCTTTCCAACATACGTATGACTTCTTGTAATAGCTCCGTGTCAGGGTTCTCAAGACGACCTCTGAATTCAGTGTCTTATTAGGAAAACTCATAAGACTCAGCCCATAGTCCTGCAGCTACCATTTATTTATTTATTAAACAGACCTGGTCTCCCTCTGTTGCCCAGCCTGGACCGCAGTGGTACAATCACAGCTCACTGCAGCCTTGAACTCCTGGGCTTAAGCAATACTCCCACCTCAGCCTCCCAAAGAGCTAAGATCACAGGTGCATGTCACCGTGCCTGGATAATTAAAAAAAACAAGCAAAAAATCCCCACTTTTTTAGAGGTGGAGTCTTGCTGTCTTGCTATGTTGCCCAGGCTCATCTCGAACTCCTGGCCTCAAGCAATCCTCTGCCCTTGGCCTCCCAAAGCACTGGGATTATAGGTGTGAGTCAATGTGCTTGGCCTACAAATACAATTTATTAAAAGGATTCAGAGCAAAATTAGCAAAAGAAAAGATGCATGGGGTAAACTCTGGAGGAAGCCAGGTACAAGCTTCCAAGGGTTCTCTCCTAGAGAAGTCACACAGGATGCCCTTCATTCCCCCAGCAATGAGTTGCAACAACGTGTGAAATGTTGTCTGCCAGGGGAGCTTGTGGGAGACTCAGTACCCGGGATTTTGACTGGAGAATGCTCACATGGCAGCCTCTGCCTGAGACACACCAAATTCCAGAGTCCCAGAAGGAAAGCAGATGTTCAGCATCACTATGTTGTTTGCACAGTTTTGGCACAGTGACCCATTATGAGTCTGGGTGGAGGGAACCTTCTCAAAATCCAGGCTGCCAGATGTCAGCTAAGGGCCAAACTTCTGTGTAAGACTTTCAAATAATTGCTTGCAGTCAGGCCTAGCACATTAAGTCTTCTCTGCAAAGTCTGCTGGTGCTGTTTCTCCCATTTCCCCTTTTTCTTCCTGTATACTTCATGATTGCTGTTTATTTAGATCTTCTGCCATTTCCTAAATTCTACTGACTTCTGTGCCCTCTGCCACCCTTTATCTGTAAGTCTCCTCTTGAAACCACTTGAAGAGAGATTCTAAAAGGTCCCTTGGTGCCCCTGGCCCCTGTGAGGCAGAGCTCCAGCTAGTAACCCCTCAGAGGCCTGTGGCAAGCCTGGGAGTTGTCCATGCTTGGTCCAACCAGCTGCAATTAGAAATATAGAATCAGGTGTTGAATTTTGCTCAAAATATTTGTTGAGCATGCCAAGCTCGCGGGTAATAATAGACTCCTTTCCAAATAACAACATGCTTTATGCAGGGACCAAGAATAGAGAGAGATGACAGTTAAATTTACCCAGAATTGGGGGATGATTGGCATGTGACAAAATGTCACTGAATTATTGAAAGTTAACAATCCCAGAGCACAGGCTTGAGAAGAACAGAAATGTCATAATCACCAGGCCAATTCGTCTTTTAAAAACTTTTCTTAGAACATACGCTTTACTAGTTTTTAGTTATCTACTAATTATAACCCAAATTTGTTGCTCTTTCTTTATCCCTCTCTGTATTATCATGCACTTAATTTCTGGTCTTTTCTTTTTGAACACAACTTTACCCAAAAGTCAAATAGAATTATTCATTATTCCCCAGAGAACATTTGGAGCTCTTGAGTCTAGGGAATTCTATCTGAGCAGAATGCCATTTGCTGGATTACTACTCACCTCTCACCATCTAGTTCAAATGGCACCTCTTCCAAGAAGCTTTCTGCAATCATCCCCAAACTGAGTTTACTTTTCCCTCCTTTGTGGACAAATGTGTGGTATGAAACAGGACATCAAGCGTGTGCTCCTCCAAATACGTCTAGCTCCTTCCATTCAACCAAAAGCTCTTTTTGAGTGTGAATAAAGCTTTATTCCTTGTTCTGTTTTTCTTAGATAAAAGCATATTAAAACATTTTAACATATTATTTTGCATGGAGAGTCAGCCAATTTGTTTGAATAAATGAATAAATGACTCTGTCAGTATGCCATGAACCAGCATTATTTCGCTGTTAAACTTTCCTTTCAATTGTAAGAACTGCATTGGATCAATTATATTGTGTTTTTTTAAATTTACTTATTGAAACTGGATGTCAAATAACTTTTGCAAGTTAAACACTAATAAGAGGGAAACATTTGCAGTGAAAATGTTAACTCTTCCTTCTGTCCTCACGGCACCTACTACATATTCCAGTTTCATGGCCAGCCTGGGTATTTTTGACAGCAGTTGCATTACTTTTACAAGTACCATCAAAATGTGTTATTCTTGATCCAGTTCTGTCATGTAAAGGTCACATTATCAGATGCATGAGAAATGCCTAGCACAGAACTGCTGGAGACCCTGGCAAACATTCGTGCTTCTGCTTGATTTGCAAACTGGGAAAATGTCTTTCTGCCCCATAGGTTTTGTTTTAGTCAATGATCATATTTCAGAGATAAAATATGAAACAAAAATCAAGGCATTTGACTGTAAAAAGGCCAATTTTATTGTGCTTTGCTCTCAAAGAGTGGCATGTGCAAATTATAAAGCCCGATAGAATGGAACTTATTGATCATACTACTAAAATATTTGTATGCCACCATATTTAGAAAACCTTTCAACATTATCCCCATAGAGGTGGTGTGGTCTTGCCTGAGTTAATTACTTTAATGATTGGTGTGTATATATGTGTGTACAGGAGAAACGGGGGAGTGAAATTATCTGGATGTCAAAGTAGTGAAAATAATAAAATATGACATGTGCTTTGATAGATCAGAATGCTTTGATCTCATGCTTCTTCTTGTAATATTGAACTGAATGAGTATAATAGGACAAATTTTGAGTTTTTAACAGAAGTGCAGTACTTCCTTCTATAAAGAAAATGAAACCTATTGTCTATGAATGAAGTCTATGTCTAAAAATTGTCATTAGGGCAGCAACTACTTTTTCAGTTTTTTAGGGTTCTTAGTGCCTGGTGCAGCACATGTTCATTAGTGTTCTCCTGATTAGACCTCTGTCTCTCATCTCACCTAGGTTATAGGCGTGGATGATTACAAATAAGATTTTTCTGTTGAAAATTGACGTGTGAAAACCCTACATAATATGAGACTTCTCTCTCCACCCCAACACGCTGTGCCTGGCCTGGAGGTTAGCATCCCTGGATTTCACCCATTGGATGATTATAGTACAGCCAAACATTGCACCCACAAAATTGCATTTCAACACATTTTCAAAAGACCCCAGGTGCACCACTGGACCCCAGGGGCATTACTGCTTCTGTTGAGAACCTTGAATTCGATACCTTTATTTTATCACAGAATCTCATGCCTACCCCGCCTCATGATAGCCCTCTATATGTACTAGCTTTGCCTATGTGTCTGTAAAGATTTTGTTTTCACTGGTTTTTATCTATCTTATTAGTTGATAAATCCTGAAGGAGTAACTATTAATTCCAAGCATCTAATGCCATGTAAAATGCCCTGTGGCCACTCCACAAACAGTTGACTGATTTATATCAAACTAAGAATTGGAATAGCCATAATTTGACTAGTAGCTTAACACATGCTTGAAAGGATGATTAGACTATATAAAATGTAAACATTTCCGGATTCTTCAAACACTGGTGATAACTAACCAGCTCTTCTTTGGATTGCATTTCATGACACTTGAATATTGACATTCCTGGATGTGTGACTATTCTGTCCTTGTTGCTATGGGCCATCTCCAGGGAGAGAATTCCTGTAGTACTCTTCACAGTGTAAACTGATAAGTAGAGGGGTCATCCAATTAGTTCTCATGACTTCAGGCAGAACTATACCTCAACTGTCATGAGTTCCTAACAATCTTCAGAGAAAGAGATTCTACAACACCCAAAAATACCCAGACAAGTGCCTAACAGTCGCTTATGTCCAGAATTTATCCTACCTCTCTCCTACTCAAAAATACACTTTTAATTTAAAATTATCTGTTTTTCTTTTAACATGATTGCAGAATAGCAAACTTGAATCAAGATTATTCATATAAAACAACTAATGAGTTTCAAGATGTTTACACACCCCTAGTTGTTAAATTTCATTGTATTGAAGAGATGAGGAATAACTTTTCCCATCCTAGTCTCACCTAGTCTCAAATTAAAACAAAGTGCATTGAGTTATTGTGGCTTTTTAATCTGTACAACTGCCTTCTGTTCTACCTATTACCATTTATTGAACAGCCACTTACTGAGCATTCCCCATGAAATAAACCCAGTGCGAAGTTCTGGGAAGTTAGTGTTACTAAAAATACGTTCAACTTTCAAGGGCCAGGTCTAGAGGCAAATGATAAATATGCTTAAAAATGTATTATCAAATTAGATCAAAAAGTACTCAGTCACATTTATCAAAAGTACTCAGTAATATTAATGTGCGCATTAAATAGAACTCAGCATCTATGATAGCAATCAGCAACAATCCATCCCTGCCAATTCACCCATTCATTCATTCATCTAACAAATACTTATTTCTGTATTTTGTTTCAGGCCTGAATCCTGGAATCCCAATAGTGAACAAGATATTTACAATTTCTCTCCCAGAGTTTACATTTTAACAAATTAGAAAAATTAATAAAAATATTGCATACTGAACAGTGGCATAGAATAATCCAGGATATCAGGCCTCGTTTGGAAAGTGAGGTAGGAGTGTGAGGAAATTTCCAAGTGGTAATATTATACCTAAACTTAGTAGGAGTTGATTAGGGGAATGTAGAAGGAGGGAAATAATCCAGATGAGGAAATCATATATGTAAAGTTCAGGAAACTACAAAGAGAATGAACAATTGGAGAATGGAAAGGTAAATTTTCTGGCATAAGGAAAGCAAGAAATAAAGTATTCTATCTGAGGTTGAAATGGGAGTCAGTGGCCAGGCCATTTATTGCTGCATGGGCCATATTAAAAATATGGTTCTCTATAGTAAGGAATAATGGCAGCCAAAGAAACCCAACTTTGTGTTTTGCAAGTATCTGTTCATCTGCATTGTGGAGGGCAAATTTAAAAATCCAGAACAAATGCAGGTTACAAAGAAGATGAACCCAAAACTCCAGATAAAAAAGGAATTAGAGAGAGAGAGAAAAGACAACAATATTAAAGTGCCAAGATTCTAAATAAGATGAAGATGGAGACATTTAGAAATAGGAGACATTTAAATATTAATTACTTATAGACAATGTGATATAGTGATGATAACAGAAGGGAAATTGAGGCTGACTGAACATTAAGTGGAAGGTGAGAAAACTGAACTAGTAAGAATAAACAAATGTGAAGACAAGTATTTCTATGTATGGACAGAAAAAAGATAAAGTAATAGGGTTGGAGGAGATAGGTTCAGGGACAGATGAGCATTTTTATATGTTGATGGGAAGATGCCTATATAAAAAAGGGTGAAGGCTGGGCGCAGTGGCTCACGCCAGTAATCCCAGCACTTTGGGAAGCCAAGGCAGACGGATCACCTGAGGTCGGGAGTTCGAGACCAGCCTGACCAACATGGAGACATCCGAACTCTACTAAAAATACAAAATTAGCCAGGCGTGGTGGTGCATGCCTGTAATCCCAGCTACTGCAGAGGCTGAGGCAGGAGAATCACTTGAACCCGGGAGGCAGAGGTTGCGGTGAGCCGAGATCCTGCCATTGCACTGCACTCCAGCCTGTGCAACAACAACAACAAAAAAGGTGAAGACACAGGGATGAAGCAGATAATAAAAAATAGATTCCTGAGAAGGTGAGGTGGGATGGAATCACAGCACAGTTGACTTCAACTGGAAAGACGGATACCTCCTCTATTGCTACATGCAGCAATGAATGGCCTGGCCGCTGACTCCCATTTCAACCTCAGATAGAATACTTTATTTCTTGCTTTCCTTATGCCGGAAAATTTACCTTTCCATTCTCCAATTGTTCATTCTCTTTGTAGTTTCCTGAACTTTACATATATGATTTCCTCATCTGGATTATTTCCCTCCTCCTACATTCCCCTAATTAACTCCTACTAAGTTTGGGTATAATATTACCACTTGGAGCTTTCCTTACACTCCTACCTCACTTTCTAAACTAGGCCTGATATCCTGGATTATTCTATGCCACTGTTCAGTATGCAATATTTTTATTAATATTTTTCTAATTTGTTAAAATGTACACTCTGGGAGATAAATTGTAAATATCTTGTATAAAAAAAAGTGAAAACTGATTGCAAATGCAAGAATATTTTTGATACTGAAACATTTTTGTATGTTCCCATCTGATGGCTTCTATTTTCTCTAAGAATTTAGTAGCCAGTGTATCTGCTGAGACTGACGAGAAAAGAAGCCGAACTAATAAGTGCTTTAAGAGAGTCAAAAAGGGCCGGGTGCGGTGGCTCACGCCTGTAATCCCAGCACTTTGGGAGGCCGAGGCGGGTGGATCACGAGGTCAGGAGATTGAGACCATCCTGGCGAACACGGTGAAACCCCGTCTCTATTAAAAAAATACAAAAAATTAGCCAGGCGTGGTGGCTCCTGTAGTCCCAGCTACTCGGGAGGCTGAGGCAGGAGAATGGTGTGAACCCGGGAGGCGGGGCTTGCAGTGCGAGCCGAGATCGCGCCACTGCACTCCAGCCCGGGCGACAGAGCGAGACTCTGTCTCAAAAAAAAAAAAAAAAGTCAAAAAGATCTGAAGTATGAGTTGAATGGAGAAACATAATAGGATTTTTTTGTTTGTTTGTTTGTTTTTTTTTGTTTGTTTGTTTGAGATAGGGTATGACTCTGTTGCTCAGGCTGAAGCACAGTGGTGCAATCATGGCTCACTGCAGCCTCAACCTCCTGGGCTTAAGCAATCCTCCCACCTCAGCCTCTCAAGTAGCTGAGACTACAAGCACACACCACCATGCCTGGCTAATTTTTGTATTTTTTTTTCTTTGTAGCGACGGGGTTTTGCCATGTTGCTCAGGCTGATCTCAGATTCCTCAAGCAATTTGCCTGCCTTGGCCTCCCACAGTGCCAGGATTACAGGCAGGAGCCACTGCACCCAGCCTGTAATAGGATTTTTTTAAGTAACAATGAGGGTCTAGCTGAGGTTAGCTATACTGACTTCATTTTAGTATTAATCCAGATGAGCTTGGTTATTCTGAATAGGTTATCATTAATAATGTATTTTTGTTTTATTTCCTCCAATTAAACTCAGCTGCCTAGAGGCAGGCAGGGAGGAAGTGGGTATTTGGTTTCAGGTGAGTCAGAGGAATTACCAAAGGTAAAAGAAGCAAGGAAGTTTAGATCTTTGGCAAAAGGACTTATTGAATGGATCATGGAATGTAACCTGAATAGAGAGGATGGAAATAAAGAGGGCAACTAATACATGGAGAGAAGATAGAAATATTTGTGGACTGGGGTCTTTAGAAAGTTGAAGAATGGTCGTGATGGGAGTAGCTGAATAATCAAACTGTAAAGCCTAGAAAATTGTGATTAGAAAATGGAATGCTTGAGTCAGTGGTTTTATTAATAGAGCAATTTCAGTAAAGACAAAATTCTGGCTGTATCCATGCAAGAGGATAATAGAGGAGAGAAAGTCACTGAATATGTACTTTAATTGACTGCTGAATTATAAAATAATCAAGAATTATTTTGAATTATAAAATAATTGAGAATAAGAATAATACTATACTCTTTGGCACATGGAATAGATTGAATGATATATACACATTGAATCGAATTGTATTAACTTTAACAAATCGACTTTAATTTGATTTTATAAACATTATCAATTGTTATGGCATTAGCATTTTGGTATATAGGTTCTTTCTGATTATCACAATGCTCTAACACTCTTCAAAATTTAGATATTTTCCATTTTCTACATTGTAAAAAAAATAGAGAAAAACCTCTTATGACTTTTAATTCTTTAACCTGAGGAAATTATTTCATGTGCTTAGTTTGTATTCAGAATAATAAAAATGATGACAGAAATGGCAATGAAACAACCAAACTTATTTCCCTAATTATACATTTATAATAGGTAAAAATAAACAACTCTTTTGTAGAAGAGACATAGGTTCTATATGTGACTGAGAGTAACTGCAATTAGGCAGTAGTGGCGCTATTAAGAAATCATTATACCTATTATTATAATATACTGTGGGAAAGAAGTACTTGTATTATGGACTGTCTATCAGAATTACTACTATTATTCCATTATTGGCAGAGAAAAACAGTCCCAAGTCCCATCAAAAAGTCTTTGTGTTCTATTCTATAACTTCCAGTTTAACACACACACACACACACACACACACACACACACACACACACACACACACACACACACAAATATATGAACCAGACTGCGCATTGATCTACTGTAGGTAAAACAGTCACTGTCTAGGTAACATTTTTATTAGATAAATAGACTCTTTCCTTGCGTTTCCAATCAAGAAATGTTTAGTATGTAATGGTTTTTTTTTTTTTTTTTTTTTTTTTTTGAGACGGAGTCTCGCTCTGTCGCCCAGGCTGGAGTGCAGTGGCGCGATCTCATCTCACTGCAAGCTCCGCCTCCCGGGTTCACGCCATTCTCCTGCCTCAGCCTCCCAAGTAGCTGGGACTACAGGCGCCCGCCATCACGCCTGGCTAATTTTTTTGTATTTTTTAGTAGAGACGGGGTTTCACCGTGTTAGCCAGGATGGTCTCGATCTCCTAACCTCGTGATCCGCCCGCCTCGGCCTCCCAAAGTGCTGGGATTACAGGCGTGTAATGATTTTTAAGAGTGAAAAATTATAAATATGTGCTCATCTAATTTTCATAGTAATCGTTCACTTAGAGGCTAGCTTATTTAAGATATTCATATTTAACCAAGATTTTTTAAAGTTTTAGTTGAAAATTATGTCAAGATAAGAAACGTATAACAAACTTAGTGGGCAAATATCGAAAGAGTCAAAATAAAAATCTCCCCTATGACTGCCTGTAGTTGTGTCATTTTGGTGGCCAAAAGGACACTTTTTCACGTTTCTCATAAATTGAATTTCAGATGCATCAGGGATAGTAGCAGTTGTTGTTGATGGTTAAAATTAGGTTAATTGCTTGGTTTGAGCTGTGATTGTCAACATGGGTTTTCTCAATTTCCTTCCAAAACATTAATAATTTTTCATGATTTGTATTCACAGCCTTATTGATCGCATTTATCCATGATCCCCCTAGTTCCACCCATATGCCTCCTACAAAATAAAAACTAAAAAATATCCTGGAAAGAATTACTTATCAGCTATAGAACATGTATGCCAACTCTCCAACTCAGAATTTGAAAATTATTATAAAGGCTCACTTGCCTTTGACAGAGTTGGAAATATTTGAGATAGCTTAATGAAACAGTTTTAATGTATGCCATTGCATTATATGAATATGAGACTAATATTTTGTGCAGCAAGCTGAAATGCTTTTCACTGTCAACTAGTATGGTGTTTAATCACAAAATAATAAACCCAAATAGGTCTGTTTCGGGTAAATAAAAATAATCTGTTTTCATAGCATTTCTCATTAAGCCTTTCAAAGTTTATGTGAAAATTTTAATAATCTCCCTTCTATGTTACAAATATGAAAAATAGAAGAACAGGTTGAATAACCCACACAACAGCTTACAGCTTTCAATCAAGATGGTGTAGTTACCAGTCAAAATGTGTGTACACACACACACACACACACACACGTCATGTATATAGGATTACTTTCTCTTAAATTTTTTAGTCCAGATATTTAATTCTATTCCTCATACTATACAACACAGTAATGGAAGAAGGTCATCAACTGTGTGGAAAGAAATGTTGAGAAAAAAAAATTCCTCTGGCCAAGCGAAAGAACCATTCCACTAACACTGTTTAAGTTATCTTTCAATATGCTGTGGGGCCCGATAATGTCCATTTAAAGGCCTGCGAAATATATAGGCAAAGTCGGATTCGGTTCAGCAAGCAGAATGTGGATGGATGTCCCCCTCAGCCACCGCAGGTGATTCCAAATCATTGCATAGGCTGTAGGGACTTCGGCTATTGTTACTGCTTCTTTTAAGCAAAACAAAACTGGTGATTAAATGTACAAAAGATCCTTCCTAAAGAGCTTTCTTTCAAAGAGATACCTAGCAGGGCATGTATCAGCCCTAAGCCATTGTTGAAAACCTCCTGGAAATGGTATTTATGGCAAAATAAACAGTATCTGCCTCACCGCAGTGATACTAGTGAGGAAAGCTCTAGCAAAAAGCATGTGACAGACAAGGTTTTAAGTAAAGACATTTTAATTTTTGTGATATGATGACAGCCTAAGCCTTTTGACATCCTAATATTCTGATCATGTTTCCTGTCTAGAATATCATTATCCCTGGGCAGGCAAGGGGTTATGAACTGCACAAATTAGAAGGTTATTTCATCCACTCAGCACAGAAATATGGTCTCCATCTTACTGTGTTAAGTGTGCATTTTTGAACAGTCAATAAAAAGCAACCTGTCCGTCAGGTTTAAATTAAGAACGCTGTAGATAATGTGTATCATTTTTAATTTTTTAAGTAATCAGGTAAATCTTTTAAAATATGTTTCTGCCTCCACTCAGTTAGCCAAAGTTGTCCATTCCGGGTTGTAGGGAGTTAAGGGGTACAACAAATATGTGCTGATCAACTGATAAATATCACTGAGGCTGAAAAAAAGCCACCTCAATAGAACCAGAGAAAGATGAGCACAGTTAGGATATTTCCTCTTTCTCTGGGCTCGATGCAGCTCCCTGAGAAGTTTTTTAAACTTTATAATCATTTTAAACAGTGCTCAGATTGGCTTTATAAATATTTGAAATTTTCAAGAGAGTTTGGATCTTTTCAGCTCTCCTATTTTTACATTACTGCTAACACGGCTAAAATCACTAGCCAAATAGCTATTTTTTCATGTACTAGTACATATCACAATATTTTTAAGATTGATATGAGAAAGCCACAGACATGCATCGCTAGTAATGTTCCAGAATTTATGTGTTTTTAAATATATGCTGCCCCAGGAATATATAATTGTTTTGAAACCTTTGATGAATTCATTCCCTTTCAGTTCCTTGGAAAACAATTGAAGTTAGATTATTGCTCTTTTTAAATGATTTTGTACTCAAATGTTCTTTAAAATTATAAATAACTTCATAACAATTGATGACTCCGCAGACTCTAAAATATAGGGCTATTAAACTACCATAGCCTTTTTTTTTGATTCATAGATTTATCAGATAATAACTGGAGGGCTGGTGCCACTAATGTACGTTTACTAAAAACACTAGCGTCAAAGATTATGGACAAAAAAGTCATTAATGCAATTATACTTCCATCTCATATTTTTGTGATTAAGTGCATGAACCAAAAAATAACTATCTGCCTTATCATTAATATCCCTGCCTAATGAAGTGTGTCTGAAGTATTTTATTTTTAATTCTCTAGCTTATTTAATTTAGGGACTAAAACACACAATATGCATACCTAAAAGCATTTCTAGTTACAGTACTTCATCACTGACATCCCGGGTACCAATTCTGTGTCCTATTTAGCATTTGATATCAACCTGGTTGCTTTTTAATAGAAGAGCTGGGCAGCCCATATACAACTGCTAGTGTGGCAACCTCACTATTTTGGAAAGTAAGAGAGAGAGAATGAAAGAAAACAGAGAAGACTAGTGGGTACTTTAGGCTAGTAACCTTTTAGCATGGTCTACATGAGGCAGAGGGCATAATATATGTCCTGACCTTCCAGAACAGACAGAGCACACATTAGTCTTCATTCTAAAATTCTTCTTTCATTTTTCTGTATAGTACCCTCCAAATGATCTTTCTCAAAAATCTTTTCATGTGATGATGTTAATATAACATAAAACTCATATGTAACTTTGTCACTGGTATGCTTCTATGTGCCCCAGTCCCTACAGAATTTAGTCTTAAACCCCTTTGTAAGATATGCATGAATTGGCCCTATTTATGTCTCCAGCCCTGTCCTAACACTGGCTATGTCCCAAACCGCACTTTAATGGCAGCGAGACACATAGCATTCTTTCATACCCTCTCTGAGCGTGTGTACTTGCTGTTTAGTCTATTGGCAAGACCATTGCATACCTAGTCTGAAAAGCTCAGCTCAAACATAAGCCCCGGGACCCAGCTGCAGCTCACCAGTGTGTTCAGCATCAATCTATGCAGACTCCATCATGTCAGTTTCCATTTACCAAAATGGCCTGTGAAAGTATTTGCCTCCTCCAGTAGAATATAAGGTGCTCAATGTCAAGACTGTCTTATTCGTCTTTCAATTCTAGATGCCTTGGTTAGCATAGAGGTTAGCTCAGTGCCTGGTTGCCAGTACGTACTCAATTAATGTTTGCTGGATTCAACCACTACCCACTCTCAAGGAGAGATACATTTATATTGCACTTATGCTATCTATATCCTATTTCTCCAATTCTTTAATGCTTAGACTTGTTCCTTTAGCAGCAGATGTATTATCTTATTTGATTTGTTCAGTACTTCTACATATTAACCAGACCACTGTCACTACATATCGGGGAAGGAAACAAAGAAAAAAGATACAATTTGCTACCGGAAATCACCAGTCAGCACAAAGCTATAGTGAGCTCTTAAGCCTGTCTCTCTCTTTTTCTTCTCTTCTTTCCCCTGTCTTCTCTCTTCCTTCTTGTTCTCTTCCTTCCCTCCCTCCCTTCTTTTCTCACTCCCCACACCAGAAAGGGATAATGATGGTGCCCAGATCGGTCTAGAACCCTGATAACTATTTCTTGAAGGATGGCAGAGGCTCCAGCCCAACGTTTACCCACCCTCTTCCCCACCCAAGTGGACGCACACTGCTCCTAACATACCAAGTATTACATTCGGTGGCAGTTGCAGTTTGGAAACTACGCCTACCTAGAAACATTTTGAAATGCCAAGTTGTTTTAAACTTGTATGATTAATTCAAATAATAACCTTTCACTAATACCATCAGCTCTTGATTGTTCACAAGCCATTCTGGAAGGTGTGAGCACCCTGCTCGTCATCCCTCCCCCCAGCCGCCTCTAGGCACTGTGGCTGCTCTGCCAGAGGGAGGGCCTTGGAAAACAAAGAGCTGCGACTTCAAATCAATCCATTGTTCCACATGTTATCAGCCCTGAAAAAGGCTTTGCGGAGAAAAATGTTGCAATTCCAGTTTAAAATATGGTTTGGGAATTACAGTGGAATTTATCTATACGCTTACAATTGCTGATTCCTGCATGCAGTCAGGAGGTAAACACAAAGGTGGTGATAGAAAAAAAAAAAAGGCTATGTCAATAGTCACAGACCTTTAATTATTTTAACGTTTGATCTATTTTTAGTTCTAAGCAATCTGTAGATATCTCTTTTAAAATTCTTTCGAAATTTTTCTTTAAAAGACATAAATGTGGCTTTGAATCCTCTGATTTAAAAACAAAAACAAAAAAAAAAACGCTCACTGAATTTGGTTGAGGGTTTCTTGAATTATTGAGCCCTGACCTAGGAAAATAATCAAGTATTAAAACAAAAGAAGACGTCATATCTTATCTGGGCTCTTCCTCTGTCTTTAAAATAAAGAAACAGTTTGAGAGAGATGATGAGACCTGCCCCTGGTCAGAGGGTCAGACACTCCTTGCTCTTAAGTCCTGCTCTGGTCAGGGTCAGCTCCTGGAAGAACTGAAATGGGAGCTACGGTGTCCACTTACTTCTGAACTGTTTGAATATTGCAGAATCAACTGTATTTTAGTATTCTGACCAATACATTAAATTTAAGCAATATCATGTTATCCATAATTGTCTCTTTCTTATCAACGTCTTTGTAAAACATTATATTTCCTTGGGAAAATGTTGCATATTTATTCAGGTCTGTTACACAGAATAGATTGTACAGGTGCAGTTTGGCCAATTATTGTAACTGTTTTCTTCAGAGTCTTTTCTGCTTTACTCATCAAGCTCACTAGGAAACAGTCATTCCTTTTTCACTGTTTCTTTTATACCCAGGCTTCCATATATTACCTTGAAATCCTAAATACGTTCCAAGGCTCCCCCCATGTCCAGCTGATCAGGTGTTAGAGCAAATGTTAATGTTGGTATCCTTGTTCTTTTGGAGAAATGATGATGTGCCAAATGCTAGCAAGTTGAAAGTGCTTAGATATGCAGAACTAAATATTTTCTGCAAGGATAGCTCTCTCTTTAAATCTTACCCATAGCACTTTTATTTCCTATATCCATCCGGCAGTAATTTTCCAGGAGAAATATAAATCCTACAATGAATTCATTTGTTACATTGGTTGTTCTAAAACAAAAAACAATACCTAATAGAAATAATATGAAAAGTTCTGTTTCACTTTATGAAGGAATTTTAGCCCAAATCATTATTAGCCTGGAACTATTATTAGCATGGAATTCTGCAATGATGGGTAGTAGTAGTAATTATGCTTTTTTTTTTTTTTTTTTTTTACTTTTCTATGATTTCTTCACACAATTCAGTGTGTAAAGTACAAATTTAGCTTCCGTTTTTTTTCTCTTAGATACTTTGAAAGATAGTAAAATGATTCTTAAATTACTATATTTTATCATTGGAATTATTCTCAATTTCAGTGGCAAAACTGTCTCCCAAACTAAGCTAATTGTAGCTATCGCAGGGACTTTTTCCTCTAACATGTACCAAGTTCCTCTCCACCAAAGTCAACAAAGGTAAGGTGCTATTCCTCCTGCTATCAATGTTATGTTTAATCCTGGGTCTGCCACTATGCCAAGTACAGTATAAATGAGGACTCTGGGATATTTTGTGGGCAGGATATTCCCCAGTGGTTGAATATTGCTAGAGAAATATCAAGAAATACAATTTTTTGGTTCTCAGCTGTAAAGAAATCATGGCAAATTTGAGTGTCCAAACCTTTTTATTGATCCAGTATTGCTGGCAATGCATCTAGAAAGAAGTTCCCCTGCAAAAGATTGATTTGGGAAAGAGTGGAAATGCTGACACCAGGAGCGTTGATTGCCACAATTTTTAAGCTTTTTACTTTTAAGTGATTACATTTACAGTTTATGAACAAAACCTAAAGTTATATATATATATTTTTAAGTAGAGTCTTACTCTGTTGCCCAGGCTGGAGTGCAGTGGCTGGATCTCGGCTCACTGCAACCACTGCCTCCCGGGTTCAAGCAATCCTCCTACCTCAGCCTCTTGAGTAGCTGCGATTCCAGGCATGTGCCACCACACCAGCAAATTTTTTTTTTTTTTTTTTTTTTTTTTTTTTTTTTAGTAGAGATGGGGTCTCACCATGTTGGCCAAGCTGGTCTCAAATTCCTAACCTCAAATGATCCCCCCACCTCAGCCTCTCAAAATGCTGGGATTACAGCTGTGAGCCACCATGCCTGGACAAGTTCTATTTTCAAAACATGTAATATAACAAATGAGGGTAGTAATTTTTTATCTGCTAAAACTTATATTTATATCACATACTTGTTGCAATGATTTCAGTGTCTACATAAATGGTGGCTAAAAGATGAATTGTTCTTTATAAGGTCTTGCTATCTTGCCCAGGCTGGCCTCAGCTTCCTGAGTAGCTGAGAGTATAGAAGCACACCACCATGCCCAGCTCAAGAGAAATAATTATATGCTTTGTGTTTGAATAGCTACAGGAATATTCAAGAGAAGCATTTCAAGCAATAATGTCTTGCCCCTGTCAGTTTCCTTTTCTAAATGGGGCAAGAGGACTCTTGAAGGTAGGGCAAGAATACTATTAGCCCATGGAGAACCAATCAGAAGGCTTTGACTGGAAAACTCCAGTCAGCACCCCAAGCTGCATGGCAGGCTAGCGGATGTTGTAAAATCACTTTTACTTCCCAATCTCATCTTTCAGCAAGATGATAAAAAGCAGAAGTAGAGAAAAAATCTAACTATGATCCTACTTGATGGAACTTCAGGGAAATATCTTCCCCCCATCTATTTCTGAGGATGAATACAGCAAAACCATTAGTGTGATGGGCTTAGCCAAAACCACAGTACTCACTTCTAAATACAGTCTATAGCTAAGACTTATTTATATGAATTTTCAAAGAATGAACAAAATGCTTTCTTTTTAATGTTTCCCTACTGCTCCTGAAAATAAATGACTCTGCCAAGATTTGCAGTGGTGCTATCCATACCCCAATGATAGGTGCTTTGTTGAACTGCCTCACTTGCTGGCATAATTTCCAAAAGTTAGGCTTCTAAGCATAAAATATTCTATGTTAGTCCTGAATATTTTGCAGTGTGAGACAAGTTGGGTACAATTTATGCTGTAGTGTGTCCTACAGCAACTGAGATGTCATGTTGCACAACGCTGAAGGTGAATCTGCAGTCATTGATTGTATACCTTTACTGTAGGTTACTTTTACCTTTAATGTCGTTAAATTTTCCATCACCTCTGAGGAATTATTTGCATATATTTAACAGAATGCAGATCTGGTCACATTTGTTTCTAATGTCTAATTAGATGTGAAGGAACCTTGACTTTAATATTATGCTCTAAATTTAACTCCGGTGAACTGTGACTGAAAATGATATTACAGTCTATTAGGTATGGTCTGGAAAAATAAGCGTGTAATTTGTAGTATTATTATTACAACCCCTTTTACTGCATATGTTTCAAACACTATTATAAAATGAATGTCACTACCATTACAATTTTGACATTTTAAATGAAACTGGATGAGGAGTCATAAAATTTAAATAAAAGAATATTCCATACTATTAAAGTTAAGGCCTATTCATTTCCCCATAAACTTGAAAGTCTGTATTTAATCTGTTTAGCTAGTTAACTAATCAGTTTTTGTTAATGCTGTGGCTGATAATTTTGCATGCTATATGAAGCACTTCTTATTTTGTGAAGATTAACCATTAAATGTTAATTGGCATTCACAATTTAACAGTAATCTCCTGCACAACAGACTCGCATTTGCAACTTTTAAGTGTTAAAATATGAAAATATCATATTTTAAAGAACCCCAAAACATTCCTTAGGTAACAGTTATACCAGAAATGATACTATTTTCACCTTAATTTTTATCTTTCAAAGTTCTCAAATGAGTTTCTAGAGTATTTCTACAAACTCGTTTGAGAACTTTACTATGAAAGATAAAAAGGGGCCGGGTGCTGTGGCTCATGCCTGTAATTCCAGCACTTTGGGAGGCCAAGGCGGGTAGATCACTTGAGGTTAGGAGTTCGAGACCAGCCTGGCCAACATGGTGAAACCCTGTCTCTACTAAAAATACGAAAAATTAGCCAGGCATTGTGGCACACGCCTGTAATCCCAACTACTCGGGAGGCTGAGACAGGAGAATCACTTGAACCTGGGAGGTGGAGGTTGCAGTGAACCGAGATCGTGCCATGGCACTCCGGCCTGGGTGACAGAGCAAGACTTTGTCTAAAAAAAAAAAAGAAAAGAAAAGACAAAAAGATAAAAAGATTGGTGGCAATCAAAATTTTGTACAGGAAATACAGAAAGGATAGCCTAAAAAGGACTTGAAGTGGCCAGCAAGATATCACCAGTGACTCAGGCATTTGTAGAAACAGGATTGATCCTCATTCCTGAGTTTCCATGATAACTGATACCGCTGGATTTAGAAAAGAAATAAGAAGATGGGCTAAAGGAGGTCAGAAGATTTCAGGGTACATTAATAAACTCATTCAAGAGATGTTTTTTGAGCACCTACAATACTCTGGGAATACAATAGCTGCTCAAAAATGTCTCATTTTAACATGAATGTTGGTTAAAACAACATGAATGTTGTTAATATTTTTATTTACAATGATGGGTAATATGAGGCTGAAACAATGAAGATACATCTCAGAAATTTTGGAATGTCACTCTATAATAATTTTCTGATACTGGAAGACTATTTCCTCAATTTTTTGTGCTACTCAAAATATAACAGCTAAAGACTTAACACACTTTTAAGTGTAATCTACATTATTGATATTTTCTCCATATTTTCATTAGGTCTAGACAATCTACAAAACAGTACATCATGCCCTAATTTGTAGCATTTACTAATTTCTATGGTATTAATACCCCCACCAGGCCAATTTTAAGCTATCAATGAGACAGCACTCAATAAGCGGTTGGGAAGAGAGTCACAATAGTGGACCATTATGTATTATTTACACCATGCAGAGAGAGTAGATGTAAATAATCTTAAGAGCTTAGATAATAGTAAAGATATACTACTCCACTAAAGAAGTGATGCGTTCTGAGCAATTACTTTGTTTTTAATATAACTTAATTGTAAGAGTATATAATTTAATTTTTTAAAATTTCTGTGTGTAACAACTGGCTCACAAAATCCCTGAAAATTTAACCATCTATACTTGTAAGCTGGGATAAGTCAGCTATCCCTCCTTTTGCTATGTAGAGAATGGCTTTTAAGAAGCAAAAGTAGAAACAGAAGGCTCTGATAATTGCCTGGGTGACAGATGATGGTGGTTTGAACTATGGTGGAGGTAGTGGAGGTAATACGAGTAGTTGGGTTTGGGATCTGTTTTGGAGAAAAAACTGGGAGAACTTATGATGAGTTTCATGCCTCAACTTCCTCATGTTTGTTTGAATTTAGAGTATTTCTGGACATTTTTTTTTTTTTTTTGCCTACCTCCGTAATTTTGTTTCTGTTACTTTTAAGCAATGCAAATAAATATCAAACAGGTGAGCTTATTTAACAATATTAATCTTATAACACAATTAGCACAACATTATTAAAACCAATGATGAATAAGCCTAATTAAAGCAGCATTTGGGGATTTGAGGAAATGTAGATACTTGCGTTCTGCTCTTAAAGCAATTCAAAATCCAGATGTTCTTTCCTTTGCTCTTCTCTAAGTACAGGCTGATCTTAGTAGATTAATAGTTGGGTATATTTAAAAGAAACATGCATGTAATCAATTATTTGGAATGGTGTAGCACTTTTATTTGGGAAAGATACACCTCTATATGAATAATGGAAATGCTTACAAAGACGATACATTTTTGAGAACTCTGATTTCTCTTTACATGGTCCAGTCCTTCTTATTTTCAACTGTAATGCATATTTTAGCATATGGATGCACTATTTCTGTCAGAAGGGATTGAATATTTACTACTTATCAACATAAATAAGCCATCACATAAAGATAGAAAAGTTCACAAAATCCACATTTATTTTAAGGGAGTAATTTAATCACAGATCTGTTTTTCAGCTTGCATCCTGATGCAGTGTTAGGAATATAGCCCATGTCTTTTCAGTAATTAAAGGCATTATGAACATCCGCTGATGCTCTTCGAACATGCCCCACTGTCTCTCGGTGGGTGTTAGGAAACTTCAATAAGTGATGATGAGATTAGCCCTTACATTACAATTTGAATTAGAAATATTATGAATAATTGTGTTGATTATTGCTCTTGAGATGAGTCAGCGTATTTCCCCCCCATTTGTGACTAATTATAAGCTTAGGATCGATTCCTCCTGTTTGGTGAACATTTTTTTAAGAAACTAAAATTGAAATTGACTCCCTGGTTTAACTAAATAATGTTTTCACATTATCGGTGACTTAATTGAATGTCTAAAACTTAAGAAAGTCACAGACAGCAGATCAATGCCTCCTTCCTTTACATTCTGAATGGAGATGTGAATTTGAAAAGAGAAACTGATTGTTTCTTGGGGTAAAAGCTTACAGTTCCCTAGTCGTGCACTTTGCCTTATGAAATGCATTGGGTTTTCTCCTTAACAAGGCCAGTTGACAATAAGTAACCTGTATCCCACTTTGCATCAATAGTAAAATAGTAAGAACCCTGTGCTGCTGGGCCAGGAGACCCAGATTTCAGTCTTGGACTTTGAACTAATTATTTGCAGAATTTAGTAGGCCCTAATTCCAAATTTTCTTGTCAGTAAGAGAACGAACTTGAGTTCTAAGCTCTCTTAGGTATACAAGATAATCCTCAATTTTTTCATTTATTATCGTGTTGGTTTTCATATATATGAGTCTGAAAAATAGCAAGATGTTATATTGAGTGCATCAGAATGTGTTTTCCTTACCTGTACACATGCATTATTTGAAGAAAGGCCTTAATTGTACGAATTCAATTTCAACAATAAAGGTACAATATGAGGCAGATGGAGACAAAACCCAGCACATGTGTCTGAGTTCTGTTTTATTTAATTAAGGAAATGTACTTAAGAAATTTTCCAGTACAATGCTTTTGTTGTTGTTGTTGTTTGATTTTGTTTGCTCACTGGGTATCAATAATTAACAGAAAGATGAATTTACTCTCTTTCTATAGAGTCCTAATTCATTGATATGATATGGATTATTTGAAAGCATTCATAATCTTCATTTATCTTTTACTACTACTAAACATACCATTATTCTTTATTAAAGCTCTCATTTCTACTGAATGTACTAAAAAGCAAATATTTATAAAACCTTGCAAGAATGTTTTTGAAAGTTGGTTTAGATTAGGGGGAAAAAAAGAACTAAAGGGATAAAAAGAAACTATAGGTAATTCAGAAGACAAAGCAAGTAGGATCATGGAAATATAAAAGTAAGACACAGTTTTTAGCTCTCTGGCCCCATCCTGCACTCGGCTTCCCACTGAATTTCCACTCCAGAGAGAGGCCATTGAACGTCCACATCTGTTTTTTTAGGAGCCCCAGATCAGTCTCAACTGCGATCACCAGGCAACATCAGGAGGTGGGAGTACCCCAGAGAGCTGGTCTCACATTTCTGGATCATTTCTGCATTCCACTCAACAGAGCCATCTCTGTTGCTGTCTTTCTCTCCATGTGCCCCTTAGAAAATTGTAATTTCATTTCTACCCTCTCTATTGGTGCCCCGTTCATTAAAGAGACTCCTGAAATCCCCCCATTCTGTAGACATTCAGTTCGTCACTGACCCAGAGCTCCCTACTGACTGCAGAAAACTGAAGACAGTTCAGACTCTGAGGGAATATACCCCAACACCCTAAAAGACAAAGCCCTCCTGTCCTCCCACAAACCTGCTCTCCTGACTATTTTTCTGTTTCCCCTCCACAACTTATAGCACTCATTTCTTTTTCAGTGATTGTTTTCCCTATGTAACTTCTTCTTTCTGCCCCTATTCAATCACCTTATTTAAATTACTTGAATATTTTTCTTTCAGAAATAGTAAGTATTTGGATATACATATACTTTTTTATATTCCATAAATTGTGACATCTCATAATAAAGTAATGCTCAATTTGGTTTTAATCAGATAGTTGCACACATTTAACAGGAGACATGTATGTTTGTAAAAAATTCCTATGTTAAACTTGAGCTTGTACTTGTGGACACTTTCAACTTCTTCAGATGCCTGCAGGCTGGCCTCTCCCTGTTGGTTTGCCCCACACACAGCCTCTCCAGCACAAGCAGATGAAGGAAATGTTGTCTGTGACCCACTGCTGTATTCAGCTTTATTACTTGAAATTGATATGAGCTTATCAACAGTTCATATCAGTTTCATGGGTAAGAGGAATAGAGAGGCAGGTGAACTTAGAACTTCTCACCATTCATAGTCATGCTATTTCCGGAATCCAATGTTTGATTCTCCTTCTCTGATCACAACCTTCTATCCTTGCACCTCTCTGACTTCTTTACTCGCAAACTTGTTCTTCATCCTCATCTCGATCGCTACTTATTCAGGCCTCCGTTTGTTCCCCAGCCATCATTTTGTCCTGCTTTCCCTTGACCCCTTCCTCAGACTGTGACTCACAGGCAGGCATCGTCCTGAGAGTGCATTAAACAGCACCCTAATGCTTGGCCCCGTTGGCTCACCCAGCATGCCAGTCCTGGCTCTGGAAGCCCCAACTACCAATTCTCTGTTTTCCTTCCAAGTGGCCACAGGTTATCAATGAAAGCCAAGAAAATATCTATTAAATAATTATGCTATCTAATATCAGCTGGGCCCTCTCTGCAGCTTGCAATCCTTTTATCTGGATTTATTGATTAAACATCAAAATTCTGAAAAATCCATTCGGGCAGTCACAAAAGTTAAAAGGTTGGCATGTGCAAGCCCATGGAGTCAGGGAATGGACAAAGGGAAGCCCTGGTGCAGGCTGGTCTGGGACAGGAGTGACAGGCAGGGCCCAAGAGAGTCAGGTTAGAGGAGAGCTCAGCACAACCTGGTTGGCAGGACCAGTGCTGCTGTTTGCACATGCTCCAAAGTCTGTGCTCAAAGCTGACAAAGATAAATTCCAATGTGTTTGAGCAAATAGGCTTTGCTCATCCTCAGCCAATAAATATCCCATATCCTGAACAGGCTCCCAGTTGACTTCTTGGTACAATTTGAGTTGATGGTCTGCGCAGCTGTGTAGAAATGAGGGCTTGGGTTACATCACAGACAACCTCTCTGACTATAATTGCCCCATTACAGGAGTGATCAACTGAGACGTCATTGCCAAAAGTGCCTCATTGTGAACTCCCCGAGACCGGATACAGACTATTTTTGATGGAAGGCCAATTGCTCAGGGATTTACTGCCGTTAGCGATTCTACGGAAGGCAACGAGGCTTGCTTTCAGGGCGCAACGAAGAAGCCATCTGTTTGCTCAGACCTTTGCCTGAGTGCAAGCCTCGTAGTCCCCAGGGGCTTTGTTGATGTTATTGTTATTGTTATTCTTCATTATTTATTGATCGTCCCAAATACATAATGTACTGAGGGATGATAATGTTCATGAGAAACATAGTTTATGTGTATGAAAAATGCTTAATCTAATATGCTATACATAATGTTTGGAAGAATAGTGCTTCTTATCTGGCAACTGATAGAGTTGACTATTTAGAGGTAGAAGGTTTTTCTGTTTTTGTTTGTTTTGCTTTTTTAGGTAGGAATGAGTGTTTATAAAAATCAACCAAGAATCCTTATCAAAATAGTTTAATGTATGATTAGCTTATAGTACTTGTTGTTTGATCTAGATCAGTTTGTGCCCACATAGTCTCTCTTTTTTCCCTTCTTTTCCCTTCCCTTTTCTTATTTCCTTCATTTATTTATTCAAGACATATTTATGAGCATGTATTATCCATCAGACATTATGGAATCAAAAATTAATGAACTACTGTCATTATCTCAAAAGCTTATCTTTTTAAAAAGAAGTCAAGGCAATTTACCATATCACCTTCCCACCTTGATAGAAATATACAGATGTTGCCCTTAAGATTAATAACCTCGTAATTAGTATTGTGGTTAAGATCCTTAATAGCGCAATCACAAGAATATTTATTATTTATTATATGAATGACATTAAAGGGAATTTTAAAAAATTTTGCTCATCATCAAATTTGTGATATTCTAAATCTAAATTTAGGGATACAGATTGTGGTGGAAATTTTTTTATTTTAGTGGTATTGGTTTTTCTTGCCGAATGATATAATTTTTTTTCAAGTTTTTTGTCTAGGTCTAACCTCTTCCTATGACAATATCTTTGTGTAAATTTCTCACAATGAAATTTCCTGAAGTTCAAGGATATGCGAATATTTACAAATTAATCATCAAATAAAATAAAACTAAATATGGAATATTAAGCTTCTATAAAAAATTAGCAGTAATTTCATCTGATTCCCATAATTAAGATAATTATATTATGCTATGTTGTAAATGTGGAAAAATATTTCAAATGTTATTTATATAGAAAGACTTTCTAATTCTGCATCTGTGGTAGCAGAACTTTTCAATAGTTGGAACAATGTATTGGTGATTGTTTTCCGTGGCCCCCTATGAACATCAGTGTCTTTATAGAGGTTCAATATTTTCTTTTCTTTTTTTTTTTTTTTTTTTGAGGCGGAGTCTCGCTCTGTCGCCCGGGCTGGAGTGCAGTGGCGCGATCTCAGCTCACTGCAAGCTCCGCCTCCCGGGTTCACGCCATTCTCCTGCCTCAGCCTCCCGAGCAGCTGGGACTACAGGCGCCCGCCACCACGCCCGGCTAATTTTTTTGTATTTTTAGTAGAGATGGGGTTTCACCGTGGTCTCGATCTCCTGACCTCGTGATCCACCTGCCTCGGCATCCTGAAGTGCTGGGATTGCAGGCGTGAGCCACCGCGCCCAGCTCAATATTTTCTTTTGAATACTGTGAGTTCAATGGAAAAAATACCGAAGAAAGACACAATCCATCTTTATACACATGCCCATATGTACAATTTTCTAGCTGATTCTTTCTTTCTCAGTCATGATCATAGTTATTTATCAAGCAACTTATGTATCACCACAGAGTTAATCCAAATGGCTAGAATTGACCGTCTATGTATCATTCATGGGATAAGCTAAATACATTCATAGAAGCTGTTTTGAATTAAGAAAATAATTTTGATCTGAATATTGTCTTGAATAAGCATCTGGATTAGTGGAGGGTTGTTCAATTGTTAGAACTTTTTGTTTTGAAATGAAGGCTTCTCAGGTCATGAAGATTATTAGTATTATTGCTATCAGGGAGATAAATGACCCTACAGATGATAGAATATTTCATGTAGTGTATGCGTCGGGATAGTTGGAGTAATGTGGAGGCATACCAGATAGACCGAGGAAATGAATAGACTGAGGCAAGAATATCTCTGAAAATCTGTCACATTATTGTGGAATTTTCTTCTTTAATATTATAATTTTAATGATTTAAAATTAGAGTCTAGCAATTACAGTCAAAGTATATAAAAAGAATATCCATTAATTGTTCTAGATATATAAATTCCATGGAGAATCCTTAAAAAATTTAGAAACACACTGTACATTTTGATCTGAGAGCTATGACTCAGTACTTGATGTTTGCAACAATTTTTCAGCCAATTTCTTGTAATTCCTCACAAATAAGACTTTTGATCACAAACTAGCCATTTAAAATATATAAGCTATATGTGTCATTCAAGCACTCATGTATCTTTAATCAGTAAATACTTACTAAGTTAATACCAAGTGTAATTCATAGTACAATGTGTTGAACATACAGAACTAAATAATTGCTCTGAAACTTTTGTCTCGTTACTCAGAGTTTAGTGGGAATGTCACTATTTAGGCCATTTCTAGCTTGCACGGTGTCTTTATGAGTTTAAGACTCAAGAGCTTAAGCTATATTTCACCCCCGTTGAACCCTTCGCTGGGTGTTCTTCTGCAAGATGCGATCTCCCCAGTCATGTACAGCATCTCTGAGCATGTTTATATATCCCAACAAGGCAGAAGATGTGATTCACTCTGCTCCAGAGCAGAGCAGAGATAATCAGGGAAACACACACAATGTGGGAGTCAGCTCCCAAGATGGCTCCCAGTGATCTCCACCCTCTGTTTTTTTTTTTTTTTTTTTTTTTTTTCAGAGACAGAGCCTCACTCTGTTGCCCAGGCTGGAGTGCAGTGGTGTAATCTTGGCTCACTGCAACCTCTGCCCCCGCTGGGTTCAAGTGATTCTCTTGCCTCAGTCTCCCAGGTGACTGAGATTACAGGCGCCTGCCACCACACCTGGCTAATTTTTGTATTTTTAGTAGAGATGGGGTTTCACCATCTTGGCCAGGCTGGTCTTGAACTCCTGACCTTGTGATCTACCCATGTTGGAAAGTGCTGGGATTACAGGCATAAGCCACTGCGCCCAGCGCCTCTGGTATTCTTGCCTATAAACACTCATTCTATCCCTTCTGTCTCCTTCAGTGTCAGTGAAACCTAGTTACTTCCTTCTAACAAATAGAATATTACAGAAGTAATAGAACGGTACTTTTGAGACTAGGTTTTAAAAATCTGATTTCTGCCTTAGGCTCTTCTCTCGCTCTCTCTCTCTCTCTCTGATTGCTTGCCCTGGGGGAAGTGAGTTATCATGTCATGAGGCAGTCCTGTAGAGAGGCCCATGTGTCAGAGGTCCAAGACATGTCAAGAGCCATACGAGGGACCATGGAAACATCTCCTCCAACCAAGTTGAGTTTTCAGCTAAGCCCACAGCCCTGGCCTATTATTGGACTGCAGTTTCATGAGACTCCTTGAGCCAGACACTCAGCTTTGTCATGCCTGAATCCCTGACCCACGGAAACTGAGAGAGTAAATGTTTATTGTTTTAAGCCACTACGTTTTGGGGTATAAAGTCATGTTGTCTTTCTTATCTCAATAATTTTTATGTTTTACTCATACGACAGTCCAAAATGGGTGTTCCTGAAAGGGCATCTCTCCTGGGCAACTTTCCTCAGTGTGATGACATCAGGTCCCAGGCTCCTTCCCTGTGATCACGGTGCCCTCAGTGTGATGACATCAGGTCCCAGGCTCCTTCCCTGTGATCACGGTGCCCTCAGTGTGATGACATCAGGTCCCAGGCTCCTTCCCTGTGATCACGGTGCCCTCAGTGTGATGACATCAGGTCCCAGGCTCCTTCCCTGTGATCACGGTGCCCTCAGTGTGATGACATCAGGTCCCAGGCTCCTTCCCTGTGATCACGGTGCCCTCAGTGTGATGACATCAGGTCCCAGGCTCCTTCCCTGTGATCACGGTGCCCTCAGTGTGATGACATCAGGTCCCAGGCTCCTTCCCTGTGATCACGGTGCCCTCAGTGTGATGACATCAGGTCCCAGGCTCCTTCCCTGTGATCACGGTGCCCTCAGTGTGATGACATCAGGTCCCAGGCTCCTTCCCTGTGATCACGGTGCCCTCAGTGTGATGACATCAGGTCCAGGCTCCTTCCCTGTGATCACGGTGCCCTCAGTGTGATGACATCAGGTCCCAGGCTGCTTCCCTGTGATCACGGTGCCCTCAGTGTGATGACATCAGGTCCCAGGCTCCTTCCCTGTGATCACGGTGCCCTCAGTGTGATGACATCAGGTCCCAGGCTCCTTCCCTGTGATCACGGTGCCCTCAGTGTGATGACATCAGGTCCCAGGCTCCTTCCCTGTGATCACGGTGCCCTCAGTGTGATGACATCAGGTCCCAGGCTCCTTCCCTGTGATCACGGTGCCCTCAGTGTGATGACATCAGGTCCCAGGCTCCTTCCCTGTGATCACGGTGCCCTCAGTGTGATGACATCAGGTCCCAGGCTCCTTCCCTGTGATCACGGTGCCCTCAGTGTGATGACATCAGGTCCCAGGCTCCTTCCCTGTGATCACGGTGCCCTCAGTGTGATGACATCAGGTCCCAGGCTCCTTCCCTGTGATCACGGTGCCCTCAGTGTGATGACATCAGGTCCCAGGCTCCTTCCCTGTGATCACGGTGCCCTCAGTGTGATGACATCAGGTCCCAGGCTCCTTCCCTGTGATCACGGTGCCCTCAGTGTGATGACATCAGGTCCCAGGCTCCTTCCCTGTGATCACGGTGCCCTCAGTGTGATGACATCAGGTCCCAGGCTCCTTCCCTGTGATCACGGTGCCCTCAGTGTGATGACATCAGGTCCCAGGCTCCTTCCCTGTGATCACGGTGCCCTCAGTGTGATGACATCAGGTCCCAGGCTCCTTCCCTGTGATCACGGTGCCCTCAGTGTGATGACATCAGGTCCCAGGCTCCTTCCCTGTGATCACGGTGCCCTCAGTGTGATGGCATCAGGTCCCAGGCTCCTTCCCTGTGATCACGGTGCCCTCAGTGTGATGACATCAGGTCCCAGGCTCCTTCCCTGTGATCACGGTGCCCTCAGTGTGATGACATCAGGTCCCAGGCTCCGTCCCTGTGATCACGGTGCCCTCAGTGTGATGACATCAGGTCCCAGGCTCCGTCCCTGTGATCACGGTGCCCTCAGTGTGATGACATCAGGTCCCAGGCTCCTTCCCTGTGATCACGGGGCCCTCAGTGTGATGACATCAGGTCCCAGGCTCCTTCCCTGTGATCACGGTGCCCTCAGTGTGATGACATCAGGTCCCAGGCTCCTTCCCTGTGATCACGGTGCCCTCAGTGTGATGACATCAGGTCCCAGGCTCCGTCCCTGTGATCACGGTGCCCTCAGTGTGATGACATCAGGTCCCAGGCTCCTTCCCTGTGATCACGGTGCCCTCAGTGTGATGACATCAGGTCCCAGGCTCCTTCCCTGTGATCACGGTGCCCTCAGTGTGATGACATCAGGTCCCAGGCTCCTTCCCTGTGATCACGGTGCCCTCAGTGTGATGACATCAGGTCCCAGGCTCCTTCCCTGTGATCACGGTGCCCTCAGTGTGATGACATCAGGTCCCAGGCTCCTTCCCTGTGATCACGGTGCCCTCAGTGTGATGACATCAGGTCCCAGGCTCCTTCCCTGTGATCACGGTGCCCTCAGTGTGATGACATCAGGTCCCAGGCTCCTTCCCTGTGATCACGGTGCCCTCAGTGTGATGACATCAGGTCCCAGGCTCCTTCCCTGTGATCACGGTGCCCTCAGTGTGATGACATCAGGTCCCAGGCTCCTTCCCTGTGATCACGGTGCCCTCAGTGTGATGACATCAGGTCCCAGGCTCCTTCCCTGTGATCACGGTGCCCTCAGTGTGATGACATCAGGTCCCAGGCTCCTTCCCTGTGATCACGGTGCCCTCAGTGTGATGACATCAGGTCCCAGGCTCCTTCCCTGTGATCACGGTGCCCTCAGTGTGATGACATCAGGTCCCAGGCTCCTTCCCTGTGATCACGGTGCCCTCAGTGTGATGACATCAGGTCCCAGGCTCCTTCCCTGTGATCACGGTGCCCTCAGTGTGATGACATCAGGTCCCAGGCTCCGTCCCTGTGATCACGGTGCCCTCAGTGTGATGACATCAGGTCCCAGGCTCCTTCCCTGTGATCACGGTGCCCTCAGTGTGATGACATCAGGTCCCAGGCTCCTTCCCTGTGATCACGGTGCCCTCCGTTAATCCCTAGGAGTGTTTTCCATTCAGCCAGTGAATGGAGAGAGACCAAATAGGTGGAGACTGGTGGGGAGAAGTAGGCCAGGGACAGAATAGACCTGAAAATAGTGTGTATCACTTCTTTCCAGATTCTATTGGCCAGAACTTAGTAGCATGGCACCACTTAATTGGAGGGAAGCTGAGAAATGTAACCTAGCTGTGTGCCCAGAAGGAGAAAGGAAATGGTTTGGCAAACAACTTGTCAGTCTCTGCCACATGGGCCATAGTGTGATTGGGCAAGGGTGGAATTGGATGAAAGAAAGAGAGGACTGAAAATCTTCGAGGCAAAGGACACAGCTCCCTGGGAATTTTGAAGTATTTGGCATTAAGAGTGTTGCCAAAGGCCGGGCGTGGTGGCTCAACGCCTGTAATCCCAGCACTTTGGGAGGCCAAGGCGGGCAGATCATGAGGTCAGGAGATCGAGACCACGGTGAAACCCCATCTCTACTAAAAATACAAAAATTAGCCGGGCGTGGTGGTGGGCACGTGTAGTCCCAGCTACTCGGGAGGCTGAGGCAGGAGAATGGTGTGAACCCGGGAGGCGGAGCTTGCAGTGAGATGAGATCGCACCACTGCACTCCAGCCTGGGCGACAGAGCGAGACTCCATCTCAAAAAAAAAAAAAAAAAAAGAAAAAAAAAAGAGTGTTGCCAAAAGCCTGAGAGACCACAACTAGAAAACCTAGCCCTTTATTTTCTCTATAAAGTGAGTAAAGATGCAAATTTGAAAAACAACAGGAAGCTAATTATGAAGAAATGAAATAGATATTTTAGAAATGTAATGATGCCGAACACTAGCAGATTTTGAAATCTAAAAGTCTTCATGCCATTTTCTCACGTCTAATTCTAACAAAATATAAGGAATATCTCAAGTGCTAGCATATTCATACAAGAAAGCAAGTCAAGCAGGCTTCACAAATACTCCTTGATTATATTTAAGTGCAGAAGTGGTTCCTCCAACCCAAATGCCCATGAATGATAGACTGGATAAAGAAAAGGTGGCACATATACACCATGGAATACTATGCAGCCATAAAAAAGAGTGAGTTCATGTCCTCTGCAGGGACATGGATGAAACTGTAAGCTATCATTCTCAGCAAACTAACACAGGAACAGAAAACCAAACACTTCATGTTCTCACTCATAAGTCGGAGTTGAACAATGAGAACACATGGACACAGGGACAGGAGCATCACACACCAGGGCCTGTTGGGGGCGGGGGACAAAGGGAGGGAGATCATTAGGAGAAATACGTAATGCATGCGGGCCTTAAAACCTAGATGACGGGTTGATGGGTGCAGCAAACCACCATGGCACATGTATACCTATGTAACAAACCTGCACGTTCTGCACATGTGTCCCAGAACTTAAAGCAAAATAAAATAAAATTAAAAACCTGGTTCCTTAAGATAACATTGTAGCACTCTTCCAAAAGAGTGTGAGAATCAAAGTGCTCATTTCCAACAACAGAAAGTTCACAAACAAATAATTTGCCTGTCAACACATTCCTAATATTGTACTTTTAATAACATTTTGATTGGCCAGCCTCTCACCTTTTTGGGCTCTGTTTTCAGTTTTCTTTTCTGCTTTCAGCCTAAGGAATTTTAATGTGTCATCATACAGAAGGTGAATCTCATATGAAGCCTTATGAGAGAGTAGGGAGATTTGCATGAAATAAAGGGAGGATTTACATCGCCTATGATACTGCCTGTCTGAAGTTAAGGATTTCCTTGTTTTCTTAGTTCTGCTGGTGGGAAATGAAAGAAACTAAATCCGGAACATTCCTTGCTGACATAGTGACAAAACTACTCCCATAAATTTAATAAAGAAATCATTTTATTCCCATGATTCATTCTTATTTGTAAAACGATAGTGTTTGAATTAAATAGATCACAAAATGGAAGACAAAATATTATACTAGACCATCTATGCCATTAAGAAATATCTTTAAGTAATTAAAGGATAAATTAAACAAATATTTTCAATAGATCTAAAATCTCTTTCATAATAACAATAAATAGTGATGAGTCCAAGACTTACTATTATTTTGAAAGCTGCCCTTTAAATCTAAGGAGTGGAATTTAGGGGTTTAATGGAATCTGTTTTATATCAAACAAGCATTGGAAAAAAAACACCAGTAAATCTTTTGAATCTAAAAGATGAATAGATGTTTCTTAATGAATGTGAATTCTGCTGTTTCCATTTTTATTTGGATATTAAAACTTTGGAAGAAAATAATAGTTGTGATGGGTTTTGGCCTACTTTATCATTTTAAAGGACGTTTTTACCATCAGAATAAAAGTCCATGATTTATATCAACGATTGAAATGACATTACTTTTGAAGCAATTTAGTTGAAGAAAAAATTTGAATTATCACTACAACAATTCAACTAACACATCCCCATGAAGGGCAATGGGAAGGCACTTGTCTTGGAGCTCTGTCCTGGCATATCCTATTGTTAGTCATGTAATTTGGGATTAGGCATTTGTCATCTCTAGAGGGCCTTTTCTAGCCTATGGGTTGTGTGGCTTTGAAAAAGGTCTCCTCCGGGACATCCTTGAGCAGAAACAGCTTGCCCAACTGTGCGGGGTGATCCTGCCCCAGTCCTATCTAGCTCACACTGCTATCAGGACCAAAGGAAACACAAGCCCTTTGTAAATTACACGGTGTTGTTCAAATGTGAAGTTCTATCATCTAGATCAGGAGTCGTAAACTGTTTTTGTAAAGGGCAAGACAGTAAGCATTTTAGGCTTTGCTGGCCACACCATCTCTGCTGCAACCACTCAGCGCTGCTGTGGAGCGAAGCAGCTGCGTACAACATGTAAAAGGGTGAGAGTGGCTGTGCTCCAATCAAACTTCATTTATGGACACTGAAACTGGAAATGCGTGTAATTATCATGTGTCACCAAATATTCTTTTTCTCTCTATTTTTTTCCAAACATTAAAAAAAGTAAAAATTGTTCTTATCTCACGGGGCATATAAAATGGACAATGGGCTGGATTGTGGCCCACAGACGATAGTTGGCTGACTCCGATCTAGACCACTTATCTAATTACCTGAGCAATCTCGAATCTTGCTGCTCAGAGCCTGGGCCTCAACCCAAATTGATAGAATCCAAATCTGTTTTTTTTTTTTTTTTTTTTTGGAAGGTTCCCTAGGCAATTCTAGTCCTTAAGTTTGAGAAGCCTTGATATGGAACAGAGTTGAGAACCAGAAAGAGCAGAGAAAATACCGGGCTTTCTGAATATGGTAAAGCATATACTACAAAAGTACATGCTAAGGGCTGGGCAATTATTAATAGAAGAGCCATTTAGCCCTTCACTCAAAGCCAAATTGTATATATATACATATATGCACATGTGTGTATGTATGTACATATATACACGCTTATATGTGTATGTATAATATATACATATGTGTGTGCATATACATATATATTTATAGAATATGGAAACATTATATATATAAACACACACACACATACATACACACATACATATATACAAGCTGATGATATGACTTATCAGTCCACAGCAAAAGGCAAATGGGGTACATTGCTGTAAGTGGGGTCCTTCCAACAGTGGCAACAAATAATATCTAAAAGCCTGAAATGGTTTTTTAAAAAAACATAATCAAATTAAAATGCTAGAAGAACAGAACTCTGAACTCGCCTTTTGTCAAATGGGACAGTCATATGGGCACTCAGTCGTCCCCGAGGGCATCATCACATTACAGCAAAGTGCAGTAGCTAATGTTCATCCTGATAACCCCAGGGCAGCAAGGAAAGGTTACATTTTGTTCTGTGCCCTCTGTTTAAGAAGATTCGGGCATGTCCTCACACCTTAAGAGGATTTTCATTACAAGTGGTTAAAATGGAAAGAACGGTTGCGCCTAAAGAAGCTTACTTTCAATTATTTAGAAAACGTTTCCATTTAGAAGTGCATTCTCCGCTGATGCTAGAAAACCATGACTTTGTGTTTTTTATTTTTTTATAATATGTTAAATTTTATTTACCATTTATTCTTGAGGATAGATGACTCAAATATCTGATTGCACGCTCCCAGTTCATTTCAGAAGAGGCAAGATCATCTTTGTTTTATTTTTCTTTTCACTTCTAACTAGTGAAGACATGAAAGCTGCTTTTACAGCTAAGAAGGAATCTTAAGTAAATATATTTGTACTTCCTTCTTTTTAATCATTCTCTTCCCGCTGCAACACAATTCTCATCCGTTGCTTTACTATCCACCCCTCCCTCTCTCTCATTTTCAAATTGTTCTTCCTCTTATATGTCAAAATGTATTATGTTATCCTGTGACACTGTTCCCCAGCATGACATCCAACATAACATAGAGAATAAATAGATACTAGAAAGGTTTCTAGAGAGCTAAATAAATAGAGCTAAGAAATAAAATAGATGGTGATAACTACTATACCCAAGCTAAGTACTTCTGACCATCGAAGGATTATGATCATTTTATTTCTCTCTTACAACGGTAGAATCTCAGGCAGCCGAAATCTGAATGAAGACGGATTAGGGAACTACTTGTCATGATGACAATTTCAAAGTTGGTTTCACATCCCTCTTTTTTCCTTGTTGGATGGTAAGGTGAGAAAGAACAGAGGGTTGGAGAAGGTAGAATAATATATAATATATAGAAAAACACCAGTAGAGAGAACAGGGGAGACTGGCTGTGATAGGACACATTCTGGTTTCTTCCATGAAATTCTAATTGAGAACTCAGGGCATGGCAGCCTACAAAGGATTCTACTTCTCTGAGCTGTGGTCCGGCCTGTCGTAATATGATATCCAGTTCCTAGGCAATTCTCCCCTGTATGCTATATTTAAAATTAAATGGCAAATGATCTGCATTAATGAGGGCCCAAAGCACTGTCAGTACACTGGTAGGAAAGTCATACTTATGGTAATTCAGTTTCAATAGGTTGGTCCTGTAAAGAGAATGGCTGACAGCAGGTTATCAAAGCAATTTCCAAGTGGGCAACTGGAGATGGGCATTCTGACTGAATAGGGACAAAAGAAATGCTTCAAGGACGTAGTGAACATACTTTGTAATAACGTGAAAAAGTCAGCATTAGCTCAAAAGCCAAGCAGCGTGGAGCAGCCAGCAGAGAGCAAAGGAGGATGGAGGAGTAGAACATGGCACGAGGTAGGAAGCAGCCTGCAGTAGGTCCTCCAGTTGACAACCACGACCATAAGTCATGGATCAAAATGCATGTGCATCCATTCCAAAATGAGCTTCACACTACAAATTAGTTTTTGCAGGAATACTCACTCATAAAAAAAAATCCCACATGCAAAAGACAGTAACCATTTGAAGCTTAGTTTGTACTTTTTTCAAAATAGACAAAAACTGATTTTTCTCTCCATTATCTTTTTTTTCAAAATATGCACGATGTGTCTGGAACTATAGGTCTAATGCTGGGCACTGGGGAAACTCAGATCTTGCCCTTGTGGCACTTACATTTGAATTCTTGAATAATTCAATAGGCCATCTCTGTTCTGACTGTAAAAATATGTTAGTGTTGTTATTCTGTCTAGGCGAATATTTTTCATCATTTTCCAGCATTTTCTTTTAGAGAGTTTTAATTACGTATTCTGTCCACACATTCCCATTTGTGTTCATTTATGAGTCCATGTTTCCCACTTCCGTGTTTTAAAAAGCCAAGCTCTAACAGAAGTCAGGGGTCTTGTACAGGAAAATCGTCAGTCCCCCTCCTCATGCCAAGGATACCATAACACACCTTAAGTTGTCGATAACTTTCAGGGTTTTCTGTGCAATATGAATGTCGCATTGGTGTCTCTCAAATGAGAATTCACTTTGGGAGGTACCCAAGCTACCTTGTGACAGGCTGTTCAAAGATAAAAAGATTTTGGCTCCAAATCATCCCCTTATAAATTTTGCACAAAGGAAAACAGAAGACTGACCCAGTATCTCAAGTGCCATCTGAGTATGAAACGAACAAAAGTGCATCTGTCTCTATTTGAAGGGTTACAAGTGATCTGAGGACATGCACTGGCGTTTCGCACAGACCAAGGAACCTTTTTCATTCATTTCATGCACGTGAGAACTCAGTGTGTTTATAAATATTCAGAAAGGATTGGTCAGAAAGGATATTTTCCCCATGAAATCTTTCTAGTATAGATTCTATTCCCAATAAAAATGGCTTCTGATACAGTCTGAGAACCTAACAGGGTGTTGGGGGCAGAGGTGGATGCCTGCCTGGAATTTTGCCCTTAAAATAACTCCACTGAGAGTCTCCTCTAGTCTGTCCTGTTAAAACTGATGCTGTCCAGAAAACCACTGTTTGGATGATTTTAAAGTAGTTTCATCCAATTACTAAGGAAACATTGTCTGCCACAAGGTTGGTAGCATTCTGGTGCATGACTCTGAATTTATTTAATCTGTTTCACAGCATATAAAGGCCAATATCTTTCTTTCATTCCTTTTTTTGCTTGATTTCTCTTTTTTTCTCATTGGAGGAGCAATTTCTCCTACATGCAAAGAAGTTAATTTTGAAAGTGTGCTCCTGAAATGATATGAAAAGTAGTTTAATAGAAGAGAGATGGTTGTTCAGTCAAGTTGAAAGAAGCGTGCATTCTTGTATTTGCATAAAGCACTGTGTATGGGGCTATTTGTTAAAGTAAGTTGAATAGATAGTATTTAAATTACATATAAATAGGTGTTGTTTTGAACTGTTTATGTCAGTAAAGTAAATCTAATGACACAAACATAATAATACCTTAACTGCTTTTATAACCAGTTTACAATATTTATCGTTTGTCGAGCACAACTAGTGTTATCTGCAATTCAACAGTAATTTTCAATCACAACCTCAAAATAGTTAACGTTAAAAGGAATCAATATGTACTACGTTTTATTACATACCCATGGGCAATAGCTCCCTGTTAATGATCACAACTGCCAACTTATATCTATCACAGCAATTTTTCTCTTCATAAATTAAATGGAGAGAAGTGTGAAATAAACTCTAAGATCATGCCATGATATTTTAGTATCTGTCTCTCTCGCTCACTCTCCTTTTTACAATTTTTTTTTGACTTTGGTTATGCATTCCATTATTTAGAATTACTACCACCATGTGCTTGAGTTTCGTTATCAATATCACTAGCAGAAGGAATACTAAGAAGGCTGGTCCTACTGCTTTTTACTTTATCCTTGTCATATCACTGAGTAAAAAAAAGAAAAACCCCTAGCTTTTTAAAATCGATTCCTAGAATGTTACCTGAAAAGATCAGCCTTATGCCAAATGTGTGTCAGTGTAGAAAGAAATGTAGTTTGATTTGCTTTTTAAAGTGTTTAAAATGACACATTCTTGGATCGTTGGTATGTGTTGTCTGTGAGAGGTGACATAACAGCCGAGTGAAGGCCAGTGTGGATTCTGTCTTGAACATGCCTCATCCAGTGGTGCTTTCAACCAATATGCATTAAATGTCACCACATCCCTTCTGTGCCAGACACTGTGCTAGTTGTTGAGATTACAAAAAAAAAAAAAGGAAGAAGAGGAAAGAAGACTAAGATAAGGGCTGGTGATTGAGACGCAGAATTTGAAGTGAGGCCATCCTGGATTGGAATCTATACTCCCTTACAAGTTGTAGGAATGTTGACAAGTTACTTAACCTTATTACAAGCCTTAGTTTCCTTAAGGGGAAAATGGAACAAGTTTAGTACCCCTAATGTTGCATAGAGAATTAAATGAGTTGACTGTAATGAGTCTTTTGAATATTGTTAATGACATCAAGTCATAGGTTCTGTTCTCACAATGCTCACAGTCTAGTGACAGTGAAGGATACTGAGCAAGCAAATGTAATTGTGCTACAGTGTCACTGCTCTAGTGAAAGCTTGTTCCAGGTGCCATGGGAACATAGATGAGTGCTTCAGGAACTAGCCTGGTTAGTTTAGAGATGCTTGGAAGGCGCAGGCCAAAGGATCCCCAAGATTCCTATGTGAATTGCCTGGTTGCTTTAAGAATTCTATTCTGACCTTGGCAATTATAGGATCTTGTAGATCTAGACATGGAAACTGTGTTTTGATTGTCATCAGGATGGCACATTTCACCACCATTCAATTCAGGCCCTCCTATGTTCAGAGCACCCTGCTAGACACTAGAGAATTAGAAGATGAATGAAATTAAACATCTGTTCTCAGGATGCCCGTCATCTATCACTGGCTGCATGTCATATCAGAGTGTATGCAGCACTTTTCTGAACTCAGAGTAGGTTCATTGCAATTGTGTTACTTCTTATGACTTCTGGTTTAGAAATAGTAACTTTCCTGGGAGTGGATTCATATGGGAAACCACTTCAAGTCCCTACTGCCAAATCCACACTCTGCTGCTTCCCCACCTACCCTTTCTTTCCTCCCTCCTATTATAGAGGAGGTAGCTTTGCTCCTAAAGTCAGTCATTCCCCTGTTCTTTGACTGCACACCCAACTAGCTCAAGAACTTTGCACTGTCAGTCATCTATTCTTCATCATCAGCTTTTCCCTTCCTAGTTGCTTCTTCCCATTGGCCTTAAAATGTGACCCTCCTGTCTATTAGAAGGTTTTCACTCAACTCCATGTCTCCCTCCAAATGCAGCCCTATTTCTCACTGCCTTTCTACCATCTTCCTCCCAAAGACCTGAGAGCATTCCTTGTCCTTCCTGTGCACTCTGTCCTTACTCTACCCCAACCAGTCTCTGCTCCTACCATTCCATGAAATGTTTTAGTTAACTAAGGTAAGGAATGGCTTCACGTTGCTGATTTGCTCATTTTTTGTTGTCTTATTTGATCTCTTAGAAATATCTCACCCTTGACCCACTGCCTCCTTGATCCCTTAATTTCCATGTGATCTCATTTTCCTTTCTCCCATCTGGAGCCTGGACCTAAGTCTCCTTATCTAACCTGGTTTTACTCCACTGTCAAACCCAGGACTTCCTTAACCCTTGCCCTAGTCGTCTTTTTCTCTCACTCTTGACTCTCCACTTGGATTATTTCTTTGATTCCCATGGCTTCCCCAAATGTACATCTACAACTTGCTAGATAGCACGTTGGTGTTCCAGTCATAAAGAGGATATGTGGAACCACTGTCTCCCATCAGGAGAGTAAACAGCCTGATTGGCAATCCATTCAGGTATCTAAGACCAAACTCATGGATCTTATCACAAACTTGTTCCTTCCCTAACACTTCCGGTATTGGCAAATAGCACAGTCAGCAGCTAAAATGCAAAACCACGGAAGAATTCCCTCTCCTATCTCACTAATCACTCACCAAACCCCATTAATTCTATCTCCTATGTATGTTTCAGACAAGTCATCTCTATCCTGCTTTTCACAAACTCTGACTTGAATCTCTGCATATTTTAATTCATTATTGCCCGTACTCAAATTCTTTTGCCACATTGCAGCCCAAAATGATTTTTTCATAAGTCAACTCTCAGCATAGCTATACCTCCCCCAGAAAACTTCAGTGACTTAGGACACCTGATTCCCAAGTATTTAATATGCCCTAGAGGTACTGTGATTCTATAATCTGTCATTCTATCTGAAATACTTTTGAGAAAAAATGGAGCAATTTTATCAATGACACTGGGACAAGTATAAACTGGGACTATGCTGGGAATCTGAGACACAGGGTCTCATTGTATCCTCAACTTCCAGCACAGGGTCTCACGGTCTGGTTCATAGAATAGAGGACCCTCCATAAATGTTTACTGAATACATGACTGAGTGGAAGGGTGTGTCGTTATATGACATCTTGCTGAAGAGAAAGGGACTCAGCTCAAATGGGTGGTTGGCCCAGGTGACTGTCTGTTGTGGTTCTTTGTCCCCAAAGATACTAGAAATCTGCATTTCAAAGTGTTCTAGGTCTGTTCTTTCCACAATATAAGCAGATGAATCTATTTTCAAATGAAATATTAAGGGTAATGCCAACATACACGACAGTTAAAAGTGAAAGCTGCTCTAAGTGAGGTTGAGGATTGCCTGACCCTGCCATGTCAGCCTCCCTCTGACCTTCCCTGCCTAAATCTACCTGGGAGAAGTCTTTGGGCCAAGAGAAATATAAATTACAAATTGTTTTTCTAGACCATTGATACATTTTCTCAAGCAAACTTAAAATATCTGAAAGTTAAATCAGAGATTCTCTAAATGTGCCATTTGCCAGTGAGTTCATGATCTCCCCTTTGGTGATATCCAGACACCGTAACTGCTTTGCCATTACTACCACTGTACCATCATCTACTTGTTTAAACCCTTCGTATGCCAATTTGATAGGCCCTCCCTCTAACTCCAACTCAATTAAACCCATTAGATCTCCCACCCACTCATTCAATTATGAATGTATATTGAGTATCCAGTATTCCAGGATCTGGGTTCTCAAATCTTATTTCTTACCATTTTTCATGCTGTGCTCAATGTAAGCCAAGTCCATTTGTTCTACCTTTATTAATAGCTAGCTTCCATTTACTGAACTACAATTCCTGATGAGATTCTAAGGACTTTGTATGCATCACTGAGTCCTTATGAGTTAGGTATGACCTCAACTGTAAAACGGATTTTCATGTTATAGAGGAGGAAACTGAAACTTGGAAAGGTTAACTAATTGGCTTAAATTTAAATAGCTAATTAAGAGAAAACCTGGGTCATAAAGAATAATGTCTGGCAGGAGTACACCTTCCATATTGTCTCAGTCTCTTCAGGTCACTATAACAAAATACCATAAACTGGGTAGCTTAGAAGTAATAGGAATTTACTTTTCACAGTTTTGGAAGGTGGGAAGTCCAAGAGCAAGGTGCTGGCAGATTTGGTGTCTTCCTGCTATGTCCTCACATAGTGGAAGGGATAAATGGGTTCCCTAAGGCACTAACCCCATTCATGAGGGCTTCACCCACATGACCTAATCATCCCCCGTAGCCGTGCCTGCTAATACCATCACCTTGGTGATTAGGGTTTCAACCTATGATGTTGAAGAGACAGAAACATTCAATTCATTGTACATATCATCTGTCTTCTATATGTGACCTTCTACTTTCTTGGTTGTGGCTTTTGAGATTTTACTCTAAAACTTACTTCCTCCAGTAAGTCTTCCATATAATCTAACCTGATGTTGAGTGTTCCTTTCCTTATGACATGGCATACAGCCTGTTGAAAGTGTTAGTATTTTACTTTGTGATGATTGTCACTTCTTCTCGTATTTCTTCTCACATAACATTTCCATCTAAAATAATAAAGCAATTGTCTCCAAGGGTCTTTTTCTATTTATGTGAATGTACGCGTGTGTATTTTCTTTGTAGCTCCCACTTTTAGTGATTACATACACATTACACACTCAGATACCATTGCCCGATTTCATAATATAACACTTAACAACACGTTTTAAAATGTGGTTAAAAGTTTAGATCCTAGGTTGGGCACGGTGGCTCACGCCTGTAATCCCAGCACTTTGGGAGGCTGAGGCAGGTGGATCACGAGGTCAGGAGATCGAGACCATCCTGGCTAACATGGTGAAACCCTGTCTCTACTAAAAATACAAAAAATTAGCTAGGTGTGGTGGTGGGTGCCTGTAGTCCCAGCTACTAGGGAGGCTGAGGCAGGAGAATGGTGTGAACCTGGGAGGCAGAACTTGTAGTGAGCTGAGATCCAACCGGGGCACTCCAGCCTGGGCGACAGAGAGAGACTCCATCTCAGAAAAAAAAAAAAAAAGTAAAAATGTTTAGACCCTGGAGGCGATTGTCCAACATTTACTAGCTACTTAACCTTTCTGTGCCTCAGTTTCCTCATGTGTAGAATGGGGCAAGAATAGTGTTTACCTCATAGATTTATTGAGAAGAGCATATAATTATATATCGTAATTATATATGTATATATATGTGTGTGTATATATATATATATATGTATATATATAAATTGGAATAACACCTGGCGTGTACTAATTGCTATGTAAGCGAAAGCTATTGGTGTTGCGCTTGTCATGGCAGGAGGAACAAGTCCTTTATTCTTATTACTTAACAAAGATTAGTGGTGACTCTGGCTTTCCTAGGTCTCAAAGACCTCAAAACTTCCAGCTTCCTTCACCCTCCCACCTGCCCAGCTTACTGCTGCCTGCCCTTCCTCTGTGGTCTCTACGCACCCTGTTGCTTATCGTCTGTTACTCTGATTTCTCTTAGCTTTTCTTTCCAGCTATCACTACATGTCTCTCTTCCTCCCTGTGCCCCTACTCTTTCAGACAGTTTGAAAGGCCCTTCACTGACTAAGGTAATAGTAAAGCCCTCAATTATTCCATCAAATTCACTTATTAGACAGAAGGCACCAATATTTTTAGTGATGGAGTAGATGGCAAAGTGCAAACTTAACAAGGAGCAAAGGTAGTTTGTGGTTTTCTATCTCGGACCCAATGACTGCAGCTCAAAGGAGACGTGCAAAGAATATTAAAAAAGTCACATTAATACCTGAGTGACAGTTCCACAGAGTACACTCAATTATCTCTGATTTTGGAGAGAAGTAAGGATGATCCCAAAACAAGTTGATACATTCTCACAATAGCCCTCAAATGGAGAATTCTAATTCCAATAAAGTACTTGTACATTTACCTTCATTTCTCTCCCTCAATCAATATTCTTTCAGTTTCTTCTGTTATTTGGTGGAAAAGGCTTCAATTAGCTGATTATCTGTCTTTTAGTTCTTACGGTGTTTGATTGCCTGCAAACAAAGAAAGCTAATAATCTATTTCTATCGAGGAAGGTGTTTTGTCTGCAGGAGTCAGAGAGCATCTGAAATGAGCTGGGACGGAGCTCGGCCCGAGGAGAGGATTTGAAGGAAGTCCTGCCGGGAGATCAGAGCACCCAGGGAGTAGTTACGGCTCTGCGTTTAAAATCCACCAATCTTGTGTTCTGACTGGAAATAAGTGTTAGTTCTGAGATTTTCAAATGGGTGTGTGTTGGCACTATTGGTGGATGCTTTAAATAAAGGAACCAGGGGCCTTGTGAACTGGCTGTAGGGAAGTCAGCTTCCACACACGGCCCTGTATCCTTCTATTCTGCTTGCCAAACCATGCTAAGTAGTAAAATCTGATCTTAAAACCACTTACAACCCCAGATTAAACGGATCTGTCTTTCTCTCTTAACCTTATTGCCTGACTGACTCATGCCCAGCTAAGGGTTTAGGGAAGGTGGTTTATGTGGCCGAAGCCCAAGTCACATTTATAGTCTTACCAAACAGCAAAATACACAAACAGCCGGTTAGCTCTTCCCAGGAACAAAAAAACTCATCAAATGAGAGAAATTATAGTCGACATTTCTACATTAGTACTACAGCTCGCTCACATTTGTAGGGTGCTTACCATGTGCCAACACAATTTTAAGGGCCTTACTTGAAGAATTCTTGCCACCTTCACAGCAACCCTATGAGGTGGAGAATATTATTATCTTCACTAATATGGATGAAAACATTCAGGCCGAAAATGTTGATCAGCTTGCCTGAGGTTAGAAGCATGTTACAGGCAGAACCAAAATGAGACCAAAAATGAGTTGATGCATTTCCTTTCAGTGACTTCAATAACTCTTTTGGTTGGTTTGTTTTTTTGAGACAGGGCCTGGCTCTGTCGCCCAGGCTGGAGTGCAGTGGTGCGATCATGGCTCACTGCAGCCTCGACCTCTCAGGCTCAGGTGATCCTCCCACTTCAGCCTCCAGAGTAGCTGGGACTACGGGCATGCACCTCAACACCCAGCTAATTTTTGTATTTTTTGTAGAGAAAGGGTTTTGCCATGTTGCCCAGGCGGGTCTCAAACTCTTGAACTCATTATCCACCTGCCTTGGCCTCATAAAGTGCTGAGATTACAGGCGTGAGCCACCATGCTCGTCTGACTTGAATAATTCTATAGATTTCCATAGCAAAAAAAAAAAATTGTTTTACTCATAAGAGTAAAATATGTAAAGTATAAAAGTATAATAAGTAAAGTATAAAAGAATGATAATAATGAGGAAAATGCAATGAACCTATGAGGTAATAATAAAAATACTTCTTTAAGAACATTGAGAATTGACTGTAGATGAAATATGTGTTTGGATCCCACTCTGTTTTTCATGATTCCAGCCATTTCCAATCTTTTATAATTCTCTTTGATAAACATTTATAAATGTTAATAGAAACATATATGCCAGTAGTTCCCTAAGTTAAATACCCCACAATTCTCAAAGAATTAAAAACTCATGAAAAATGTATTTTTAATAAGTCATTATACGAAAGAGATACTTGCACACACATGTTTATAGCAGCACAATTCACACTTGCAAAATCGTGGAACCAACCCAAATGCTCATCAGTCAATGAGTGGATTAAAAAACTGTGGTATGTATATGATGGAATACTACTCAGCCATAAAAAGGAATGAATTAACAGCATTTGCAATGACGTGGATGATAAGCTATGAGGACTCAAAGGCCCAAGAATGATACAAGGGATTTTGGGGACTTGAGGAAAAGAGTAGGAGGGGGGTGAGGGATAAAAGACAACAAATATGGTGCAGTGTATACTGCTTGGGTGATGTGTGCACCGGGATCTCACAAATCTCCACTAAATAACTTACTCATATAACCAAATACTGCCTGTACCCCAATAACTTATGGGAAAAATAAAGTAATAACAAAAATAAAATAATAAAAATGTCATTTTAACTCTCATTCTTTGTAAATGAACTGGTCACTTCCATCCAAGCCTCTGAACCATTACTCACCTTTCCCCACCCTTCTCCACTCTGCTCTGTGTCTTAGGTGGCTGCAGGGCCTGAATGTATAGTAATTGACGGATATCATTTTCCTTAGGCTTTCATTGGGTTTAGCTAATGAGAGGCACTGACAGATGAAGGATGGGAAGGGAATAAAGCCAGGGTATCTGGTTCCCTCCTGACAGGTCATCCAGGTCACTTCATGGTGGCTGGTTGAGGACACCACAGTTCCTTGTAGGTGGCCCTCTCAAAACAGCTCTTTTGGGGTTCAGAAACTGTTCCCCCTCTTTACCTCTTCAGGCCTCAGGGTTCAATAATGCTCCCTACTACTACTAGTCCCAGAGTACCTCGATGAAGCTGCCACCCACACCTTTGAAAGTTGTGCCTTTACTCTCTTCCATTACTCAATATGAGTGTGCATCTATTTCCCACCTAGATCCTGATTGAAACAGAGACCTTTACAATTTACTGCGATTTCATCCATTTAATATTAGTCTTTGCTGTGTCCAAGACCAGTTTTTCTACATTATTTTAACAGAAGAAACTCTACCAAGTTACTGCTCATAAGCATATGGTATAATTTCTGTAACTCAGGTGGAATTTGTAACCCTTTATTCAACAGCAATTCTAAGTTGCGAGTAATTTCCATTTTAATCATGGAGAAAAAATCTAGATTAATTGCGCGTGACAGAATTAGGTAATGTCATTACCATCTCTGTATATTGTCAGAGCCATTGGGGTCAAGAGGCTTCCCAATGATGAATAAATTGCTTGACTGCCTGGTGTTGGTTGACCTAATAATTTTTAAAGTAGTTATTGTATCCTTAAATTATTCAGGTGCCATGAAGAACATAGATGAGATGAAGATAGATCTGTTTGCTGTGATAGTAGATTAACCATCTAAAACCATCTTTCAGAAGTTTTGGTTCTTTTATGAATGGGTTGGGTAGAAACTCACTAGGGTTAAAATCAATACTGGTATTTCTTTTCCCCAAGTGTACATTCTCCTAAAATCCAAGTCTTAAGAGTACCTGCTAGGAGTCGAGACCAAAAGGCCTTATATTTTATAAAATGGTTCTCTATATCGAAAAAATAAATGCATAATTGGCTTTATGTTGTGCAATAGACATAGTCTTAATGAAAGTTTTGGGAAAAAAGCAAGAATTACAGATTGATTCCTTTCAAACTCTTTTATCTTGAACCGCAAATATGATTAATACATCCGGCTGTTTAGGTAAGGTTCTTTGGAGATTGATATAAGACAATTGTAAGAAAAAAACAAATTTCAAATATGGATTTAACAATATACTTATTACCACACAAAAGTTGTTTACCTATTCAAGAGACATAACTTGGCTATTGCTGAAGTTAGCCTTTTATGCATAATAAATCATCCCAAAACTTAATAGGATTAACGTTCATTTAACCTGTAAGTCTCTTTTTCAGGAATTTGGGCAGGGCTCAGGTGGGCAGTTCTGGTTACATTTGAATTGATTCAAGCATCTTCAGTCGGCAGTCAGGCCAGTTGAGAGCTGACTAGCCTAGGATCACGTCTACTAGGAGAACTCTTCTCAGTTCCACATGGTCTCTCTTCCTCCAGCAGGTTGGCTGGGCTTGTTCATAGGGCAGCTGGGTAGAACTCCAAGAAAGCCAGTAGGAGCATGAAATAAAGGCACAATATCACTTCCTCCACTTTCTATGGGTATGGGCCAAAGAAAGTCAATAGGCCACTCAGATTCGAGGGGAAGGAAAGTAGAATCTGTTTGTTAATGGCAGGAGCTTCTAAATTCCAGAGCAAAAGGCATGGAAACAAGGAAAAGTGAAGGACTGTAGCCATTTTGCAATCTACCAAAATTAGATAATAAGGAATAATGTGGAATGGGAATGATGAACCAAATACTACATTGGGCTTTTTTGTGATTAAAGGAGGTAGGTAAGGAAGGGACATTGTTTTGCATGTATCAACATACACAATAGCACACCCACATATAGAGATGCTTCCATTAAATATTTCTCAGACACAGCAGGCCTTGTATCTCTCTACCAGCAATCCACTCTGGTCTTGCTTCCCTTTTCTTTTGTGCAATCTACAGTTTTTCATTTTTCTTTCTTGGCTTTTGTTTTCCTGCCCCTTCTACTGACTCTCTGACTCCCAGCTGTGCTCTAATCCTCCTCTGAGCGAGTTTTATGCTTCTCTTGTCTCTCTTATCCTGCTTACTGTGTATTCCAAAGTCTGGCAGGAACCATGTCAATAGAGAAAACACTCAGTCATTTGGCAACGTGAAGAAGCAATTAGATGCCAGCTTCTAAAGGGCTAGAGGACATTTAAACTCCAAGTGCTAGAAATCTTACTGAAATTGCAGGCAGAACAGAGGGAGAAGTACTTGAAGAGTTATTAGCTAGCCAGAGCTTGGCCCCATCACATTTTTGCCATTGCCTATTATAAGAAGGCTTCCATGTTCTGGGTTGAGCCACTATGAGTAGAAGGGAGATCAATGAGCATCCTCAGAAATAATGAAAGCTTGTCTCAGTCCTTTAAGAATAAGACCTGGAGAAAGTGATTCCCTGATTCCCGGAGCATAACAGGACACTTTGGATGCACATGACAATGTAGAAGATAATTCCAAATTCTATAGCTAATCCGCAGCACAGTTAATCTCTGAATAGTTACAGAGATGTGTATTATAATTGGAAGCACAAAAGTGGCCATTTATTTCATTTTGTACAATGCTTGTTATTGCATTCCAACTCACAGTAGCTATTACTCAAACCTCTATTTTCTATTGTTATTCTTTTAACGCAGACTTTGCCCCTTACCCAAGCCAGGGTTGTTATTCCACAGAGGGTTTTCCAGACATCATTAACCACAGGAAGAGATCATAACACAGCAGAAACTTGGGATTGAATAACAACCTTGAAATTCAAACTGACATCATGTATTGTTGTTTGCATTATATCCTAAACAGTTATTAGGAACAATTAGCAATTAAAGACTCTTAGGTGCAGTTATATGGTTTTCTACAATATATCCTGAATAGCAGGATAAGTGCTTTGGCTGCAAGCCAATCATCAAAAGCCAACAGAAAACTCTAACCTAAAATGCGTGCTCCTTTATGGCCATTGAGCAAAGTATGTTAATCAAGCAAAGCCATACACGAGATGGGGAGACTTCAGGTGTAAACTTTCGCTATGAAGCCTATCCCCATTTTATCCAAACTCTATGTAGCCCCAAAGAAATAGGATTTATACACATATCTTCTCCACTTAACTTTTATGAAAAAGAGACACATAATAAGCACAGAAACAGATATCCAGAAATATTTTTAAAGGAATATGTCCTGATTTCAGGACAAAATTAGTGTAATAGCGTCTATCTTCTAGTCCTTTAGTAGTTCTACCATGACACTGGTGTTCATTATAATGATCCTGAGGCCCTAAATATTCTTTCTGAAGCATCAACGTGATATTACATCAGAGTCAAGCTAATTTGAATGTTAAGTGTAGTCTACACATATTTAATTCCTTGAAAATCAAGTAGTATATACTGATTTTTAGTTTTCTCACAATATTCATCTTGCCAGGGGGCCATATTCTCAATTACATTGAATAAATTGGATTTTGTGCTTTATTATGTATTGTGTTTATTTTATTAATATCAAAGTGCTGGCTCCAGTTCACCCACTATTAATAGTTATATAAAGCTTTTTTTCTGTTTCCAAATCAGACACTGATTATAGATATAGGAAGCTGAACTCAATCTCTATTCAGCACAGTTTTAAAGAACATGGAATAGCCTGAAGGCAAGCAGGTGTCCAGCTTCTATCAGGCGCTCAGTGTGGAAACAGAGAGAAACATCAGGAGAGTAAAAAAATTCATTCAAATGGCTGTTGTTTTTTTTTTTTTTTAAAAAAAAAAAGAATAAAAGAGAGTAGGAAAACAATTTCAATTGCTCACTGACTTTGCTTACTTAAATCTTTGGAGTAAATTGTAAATAAACAGCTGATCCAAATTGACTAGTGTGGCTTACATCCTTCCCCATTCCAAATGTGTCAATAAAAGTGTTAGTGTGAAAGAACTGAGAAGGGTGGGGCTCCTATTATATTTTTGGAAATAACTTGAACCGCTCAAACTTTACATAAACTCAAGTTATATTAAAGAGAGGAAAGCATGACAACATAAATTGGAAACATTACAATCCAATTTCTTACTTTTGTAAGTACGAAGAAACAATATGGACAATAACATTTCAAAGTTTAGAAATAAAGTATATGATTATCTGTGAAGCAAGATAAAGCACTTATGAATTAACCTCTGGTAATTTCTCAAAGATTTTATTTGTTTCCCTAATAATTAGTTATTGTAAGTAAATGAAATTATACATAAAGAGAAGATAAATTATGTGAGCAAGCAGACATACTAAAACTTAATATAAATACATAAATATGCACAATTAGAAATATTATTTGCATAACCCTATTTATTTTTTAATATAAAAATAGAAATGCAGATATGCAATTGCAAAATACAGTATGGAAAATAGTTAACCAGAATCCAGATATTATGTGCAAACTGTAATTTTACATTTATAATGGAAAGTAACATTAAAGGAAGCTTTGCATTCTTTTAAAATATGAGCTTAATAAAATAATCTGTGATTTTGGCTTATCAATAAGGGCTTTCTTATCTGGGGGTAAAGTAGTCTCAGGAGCATGGTGCCTGCCTTCCTGAGATGGGCTTATCTTGAACACGGGCTGACTTTCCCTTGTGTTTGAGCTCATTCATTTCCCCCAGGTACTGAAGGTTTTCTAAGACGTCTGTTCTTCTCATTGATTGAGTGAAGAACAATCTCCCTCAGTGAGTGAGACACAAAAGGTCTTTTGCACACAGTCGGAACGTGAGTGCTTCAGTGAGGAAGTGTTTCTCATGCCTCTGGGTCTTTACTCTTGTTGCTGCTGATATACACTTCCAGGAGATGGAGCTATGGCTCAGTTTGAATTCTCACATCTTTTGTGGTCTGCTCAAGGAAAAAAACAAAAAATTAAGATCTCAGAATCTTTTTTGAGCAGTTTAAAAAGTAACCATTGCTGTATGGCATTGGGAGGTGGGAAATGGATCGAACTCTTTTGTATTTAATCTATAGGTTTGTAGATTAAATACAAGAGTTCCTTAATTTAAAGCATTTTAATACACTGTGTTGGTGAAAAAGCTTGAAGCTCAGGCTTCTCTTGGATAGAACTCAGGATTTATGACCTCTCTTCAAGACAGAGAAAAAGGCTATTTTTTAGAAAAAGAGAAAACATTAAAAGAAATCAGAGTTGTTGTTGGTTGTTTCTAAAGGAAACCAGCTCATTCCAAAATCTGATAAAAGAATCATCCTGTAATTATAATTATTAAAATAGTGCTGTTTTACTTTTTCCATTTGTCTACCCTAAAATATGTTTATCTAAATGTTCCCCCTTCCACCTGCCCTGGTTTAGCCTTTATTAAAAGTCAGAGTATTGTTGCGCCTCTGATGAGTTTCAAGTAGGCTTTCATCTCATTATGCACTTTGCATATAAGAAACCTCCAATTTATGGCTGATTTCTCAAAATACAGTAATTGAGTTTGTTGCCAGCCATGCAGGGTAATCATCCAATCATGAAAACCTGCTCTGTATGGAGGAAAGTGTTCTGGACCAGTGGATTAGGGATGACAGGTGTTCTTCCTGGTAGCCAGCTGTTTCAGGAGCAGTATCATAGCAGGAGTTTCAGAAATAAGTAACAGCCATGACAACAATCATTGTATTTGAAGAGTGTTTATGATTATAGAATGTTCCATGAGCTTCACGTTCCTTGAGCCCCTGATGACCATCCATGTGTGTGAGATTGGTGCTATGAGGTGCTGAATTTATGGACCAGGCTCACGGAGGAGATGGAGTGATGGAAGTCACACTGCTAGTAAGTGGAAAAGTTTGGCTTCTTGTCCACACCATCAAATGCCTCACTTCATGCGCTAGTGGCATGTTTTGTTTGGATGTCTTTGTGAGTGTGCGTGTATGAGTGTGCGTGTGAGTGTGTGTGCAATGATGTAAAATAGTCTTGCTTCTGATGGGCATTTGTGCATATCCTCGTGTCTGGCAGGACTATCCAGGGATGCACAGCATAATCAGACTTCTTATCCAAACTGGGGGAGCCCTTATCTGTGTTTGGGACCACCTATATGACATCAATTTAGATAGGAGTAAAAGCGTAGTCAACCAACTATTCCTACTGTTAGATGTTGTCCCGATTTTATCACATTCTTTTGTGTTTGTGTTTAATTTATAAGTGGTAACATTTGGGTTTTTTATTCTAAGCTTCAAATTCTCTTTACTTTCTTGATTTCTTATTTTAGTTAAAACTAAACAGGGTATTATGGCTGATAACTACTAGTTAAAATTAAATTACCATGAAGAGAAAAAGTGAAATTTTATCCTAGTAACATGACGATATTTTTCTTTAAATTATAGGTTTGAATGTGAAGTTTCATAATACATAGATATGAGTTTCTCCCAATCTCTAGCAGCTAGAAATACTCTAGCTAGGTACAAAATATTCATCATGCTAGTTGTTTTAAATATACTATCGATATCACATGTAGAAAACCTGGACTTAACTCAGACCTTAGTATGAATTCTGGCTCTTTCTCTTACCAGCAATATAACTGGAGTAAATTATTTATCATCTCCGAGTCTTGGTTTCTTCAACCATAAAATGGGGAGGCACTCAACCTCACAGGGACATTGTAGAAGACTGAATAACAAAATAAATCTTTAATACTATTAATATATTTAAGGATGGTCCTATTGCAGGTTACAATTTTTTTTAACCATTCTTTCTGTCTTTTCCATTCAATGATTTTGTAAATGCCCATTGCTCTGGTATTTATTAGGATGTCTGAGTGCTTTTAATTTTGGTCTGAACTGAGTCAAGGAAACAGGTGATTCGTTTTGCCAACGAAATAAGAATTTACTGACTTTCTGAGTTATGTAAGTTTTGTTTTGCTCTTATAAATTTGAGCAGGGAGCATGTAAATGCTGCTTTCAGAAGAATAAGGGGAAGCAAAGCAAAATGAAAATGAAATAATTCCCCAAAAGGATTTCCAAATCATTTCTACTGATTTAGGCAAGAGGGGGTGGGGACTCTGTCAAAAAGGTTCCCTGGACCCAGCAGCATGAGCAAACCTGCTGGCACATCTTTGCCACCACAAAAAATTGGCTCTGAAACGACCATTCTGTGTTAGTTTTACCTGCATGTTTTCAGTTGTCACTAGCCTACTCAGGGGACCGAAGAAGAAAGCTTTTTTCCAGAACCAGTAGGTCTACAGGGGTCTGAGAGCAGGGATCTGCCAACAGAAAATTAGAGTAATAAGGAAAGCACATTAACAAAGGCTCTTTTTCTTTTAAGAAGCATAAAAAAGAACCGTCCCATCAGATGTGGCTTCTTCTAAGTGTTACTGCACTTAGCAATTTTTAAAATTCTCAAAATATAAAATACGAGAGAAAAGGAAGTGTGACATTTTACTTTTTGTATGTTTTTCTTCAGACTGGTCTCATATGCTAATAATACCTATAACTTATTCTATTTACTTTCACCTATAAGCTATAGATTTAAGTTAGTGAAGGTGTCAGTGTGCTATATATAGGGCCACATCGTTAATTATACATTTTATAACTTTTGGGTGAATTGAATGCAAGATAGGCCAGATGCTGGGAGTGTTCTGGGTAGAACTGCACTGTTAGACATACACAGGAAGGGATTTAAAGGGGGAAAAAAGCAACTATCTCTTCCTAATTCAGCTCAATCTCTAGCTGATTATTTTGGCTTCTCATCTTAATGGTAGCGCCCGAAAATAACTTAGAAAAATAATCACAAACTCTACACTCTAAATCTCATATCCTAATAAAGGAACCCTATAAACCAACATTAAGATAGGTGAGAAGAATATAAGTGGTATGCAATTTAAGGAATGAAATAGCAGCAATTTGCATTTCTTCTGTCTCATTCAGTAGCATTCATTCTTGTTTCTTATTAAATAAGTCTTGTAAGGTACCTTGAAAACACCAGTGGCAAAGTGATGGACCGGTCAAGAGACGCTTTAAAAATGTTGGTCTCCAGGTTTTATAAGCACAGTGCTTTGAGTGTTTCGTGTTTGAAGATGATGAAGATAATTAAATGTAAAAGAAAAATCTCCTTCAAATAGGGAGCTTGCAAGCAAGATAGGTACATACACCATTAATCATACTGTGATTTAAGCACCTAGAAAGTCATTGCTCAATTATCACTGCTAATGAAGAGGAGCAGTAGTGCCGGTGATCCAACATGGCAGCTAGAATAATTTATATTCAAGTCAAAATGACTTTTGGTACTTACATTTGAATATAATGGTGTCTGGTATTCTGGGACTCCTAGCTGAGCGCCCAGCAGGCAGGAGGGTTCCCACACATGCACTTGCTCATTGTTCCCTTGCAGAAGCAAAGGAAGCAAAGGAAGCATGCGTGCTTCAGCCGGTAGAAAACGGCTCAGCGGCTGGGGCTCAGCTTCCTAAACCAGTGACAGGGCGCAGATCGGTGTGTTTGCTACTACCCAGGCCTGCAGTGGTGCAGCGGGATTGGGGGAGGGGGATGGGGGAAGACTTCACCTGCCTGATATTTGTGTGTCTGTAGACCATTAGTGGATAAGTAAAAGATAATGACGTATAACCAAAAACATTTTAATGAGAGTAAAACAATGCATGAGAAATCAGAGCAGTAGGTCTGCCCAGTTTGCTAAAACAGCCCCTTCGTAAAAAATATATCATGTTACTTGATTTACCCGAACCCAAGTGCCTAGGCATAACTTATTTCAGCAGTGCCTGCCGTTTAATAGAATACAAGATAAATTTTTGCATTTCTTCAAACTGTTGTATTTCCTACTTTTAGCCTGATGGTTGGGTTAGATCTAGTTTTTAAAGTGGGGAGAAGAGTATGGCCGGGAGTTACAGCAGGTGCTTTAAGGAGATGGCAAACATTTCAGGATCAGTGTGGTATTAGAAATAGCTCTGCAGTAGGAAAGCTGCAGAAGTCTTGCAATCTTGCTGTAATCAGAAGGCAGTGCGAGTGCTGAGATCATTTTATTACAGAAAGAATGAGATGTGGGAAGGAAGAGAAAATACATATCTATGTTCTTAATCTTAGTATATTGACTTATATTTTGTTTCTCTATTTTTCTCATAAGAATCTTTTTTTTTTCCTAAAAGACATTGTTGCAGAATACTTTATCTCAAAACCATCACTGCATCATTATAAATGTATTGTTTAGGAGGATTTCAAGGTCTTCCAGATATGAATGAAAAATCATTTATTAGCAGATAAAGTTACTAATTGAATGAGAGGTAACCACGGTCGCAATTGCACATTGTTTTAACAGTTGTCCCGAGAAGACACTTCCAGACTGATAGGCCTCAAAGAAAAATATGTGTTGTATTCTACAAATATTAATAATCTAGACACAAGTGTTAGAGATGAAACTTAGGGAAAAACAATACAATTCATGGCTTCAGTGTTTTTAATATCTAATGGGGGAAATAGTACTCATAGGATTTATATAGTATTTTTTTTTATTTTGGCTATACAATTTGCACACTGTGAGTCATGCAAGCTCAATACCGTGTGTTCAGAATGAGAAACTTGTCTTGTTTCATTTTTGTATGTTCCCAGTGCAAGGTAAGTTTCTTATACATTTAAGTGCACATAAAATATTTATTGAGCTGAAATAAAAACTATATTTTGCTACTCAAAAGTAACCAAATGATCATCATCACAAAGAAATGCATAAAAAGCAGGCTGATGAGAGGATAGTGAAACAGCCATTCTTACTGTCATATATCTTTTTTTCTTTCTTTTAAAAACTGTAGAGTAAGTAGAATTGAGGTAGCTGGTTCTTTGTGTTAGTTATGAGGCTTCTACTTGTGAGTATAATAAAGGTGATCCTAATAGTTAGTGGAACTATGGTAATTTGTTGGATCTCATAGAGTCTATGGGTAGCAGCTTCAGGCCTAGTTGGATCTAGCTGTTGAAACAATACTGTCAGGGATTCCCGTACAGTTCTCGAATCTGCTTTCCTCTCCTTTGGCTTTTTTTCTGACACTGTCTTTTCTCTTACTGACAAGTTGAACTTCAGAAACTTCAGGCTTACATCCTAAGTACATATCTAATGATAAGGAAATCTGGCAAAAAGGAGTACATATTTCCATAGTTTCACCCACAACATCTGGGCTGACACTTAGAGATTCTGATTGACCTCTCTTGTATCATAAGCATTTTCTGAGTCAGTTTCTGGAGCTGGAAGAAGTTGGCCACCCTGATTGACCAGACCTGGGTCACATTTCAGAATGAGGAATGCTCAACTCCCAAAGGAAAGGTAAAATGCTTCTAAGAGTTGTTGGAGAAATGGTTATTGGGCAGACAAAAAGAGTCTTATGTAGGGTAAGAACTTAAGTGTTCATTAAGCTGAAGTATAAGATCACTTAAGTATCTTGGCAGACAGAACACCAAGAAGACATGTTAGCCTACAAATAGACACTTTGGAAAATTTAGTCACAAATCGTTATGGTGTTCATTTTGGGATAAGGAGTATTTTCTAATATACGAGGAAAATTTTTAATATAAAGATATGGGAAGTAAAGTTTTATTCCTGTGTGAGTCACTACTTCCTTCAGAGTTTTTCTTTTTTACCCAAATGGTATTTTATCAATGAGGCCTTTCCTAACTACTCTCTGTAAAATAAACCATGCCTTACAAGCCCTTCATGACAGCCCCAGCACTTTCTATGCCCTTTATCTTGCTTTATTATTTTTACATATTTTATTACCATTAGGCATCTCATGTATTGACTTATACATCCTATACATTTATTGATTATCTGTCTTTCCTTATTAAAATATAAGTTCCATGAAAAATTTATTTACTTCTCACTGTTCATCAAGGTGACCAGTGTTTATTCGTTGAATAATAAATATTTGGGGAGTGGATATGTGAATGAATGAATGAATGAATGAGATGTTTTAAGTGGTCAAATTAGATTTTCAAAAGCCTAAGGAAATTCAGTTCTGTGTGAATAGATATAATTATTTCATTGATTATGAGTTTTTAAAATAATAACACATAGAATGAAATTTAAATACATATACTTCTTAAATGTAAGGGAAAATAATACAGAACACCTGAATTGGCTTTAATTTATCCAATTGTGTTTATTGCTGTAAACCTAAGTTACTAGGTTTTGGTCAGGCTGGAGATTATACTGATATTACTTGCGCTATAAATTATGTTGCTATTTATATACTGATATTACACTATAAATTATGTTGTTGCCTCTCTCAGTACTATCAAATGCAATAAATAGTAAGTCTATTTAGAGTGAATGGTTCCATAATAGTGGGGTTGTAGTAGACATAAATAATTTTCATGTGTTCATTGATATATAGAAACATCTCAGGTACAACTGAGATAATACAATCATTTCTTCCTTGTCAGTGCAGATGCCTCTTTTGTCAACAATATATTGTAGTCAAAGTGTTTTTTTACCAACCACACCCCAGGTACTGCAAAACACCGTTCAGAGTGCAAATTGATTTGTGTCTAATTGGGAAGATACATAGACAAGAACAGCACAAAATCAATGCATTTAAGTCCAATTTAAACTACATAAGTTGTTCGTTACTTCTTTTTAACCTTCATGATACAGAAATAGGGACATGAACACCTGTACAGACCCAACAAGCCTTCTCTCCTCTGACACTCTCCCAACATAATCAAATCTTCTCTGTCCTCTGAAGTATACTTAAGGTCTACTTCTCTTTAGATGATATGTGGTGTCTTTGGAATATCTCTTGCATTCTTCTGTTAAATTGTCATTTATCTTGGTTTCCACAAGTATAGACAAGTCACATTTTGATGTGATCATAAGTGTAGAAACAAGAAAATGTAACATGTATGGATAAGAAAATGCCAAGCACATACAACGAAAACGTTACATTTAAGACATAGTTTTCTTTGTCCTAGCTATTCTCTATAGCTTCCTCTGTAATGTCAGGCTTCTAATAAATGGATTTCCCAAATGTAAAGCTTGTAAGTATCATTCCCTCTGCACAAAAGCCTTCAGTGATCCTTCACTACCTCCAACATAAAGTACCAATACCATACTTAGGTCAATAGTCATAACCCTTTATTAAATGTTTAATTCTTCACCTATTACTCAAAACTGTTTGGAGTCAAAGGGCTTAAGCAAATTCTGTCTTTGTTCTTGCTGTACTGCATAAAGTATATGAGTGAAGTATCCCCGCATTCTTACATAGGTTTGTGAATTCCTAAGAATTCAATGTCCACCTCAAGTTCCAATTTCTTCATGAACCCTTATGATATTCCATAACCACCATGCTTTTTCCATTGTTTTGTATGACTTTTTAAATCTTTTCCATATACAGTCATTATCCCATTAATTTGCCAAAACCTGACCATATCGTATAACTTTCTGGATCCCTAGGACTTAGCTGATAATGATAACTCACTAAATTTGGCTGATACTTGTTGCAGTGATGATTATGATAAGAATTATGGTTTATAATATATATTGCATGTTATTGGAAAAAGGCCATGTATTCAGAGGAAATTAGATTGAGAAATAGTTCACTAGTGAGAAAATTCATTTTTAAAAATAGAAGGAAATTATTCACAATTTTAATTTTCATATATTTTTACATTAATATATTGATCACAGTATTGATTATACTTACACACTGAGGGTGCTAATGTTGTGAATTAAATAAAATGATGCGTTTTATATATATGTTATATTTTATAGTTCAAAATATTTTAATACCTTCTTGGCCATGCTATTCGAATCCTTAATATTTCTTTAACGCTTTTTGTGCCTATGATAGTTTTGCTTAAAATATCATATAAGATATAATTACATGTATGCCATGGAGCCCTGTATTAAAGAATATTAAAAAATTACATTATTGTTAGAATTTTTCTAATTGTTCATAGTGTGGGTTGGCCCAGTTTTTTGTGTGCTAAATCTTTTGGAAATTGTTCAGCTCCACTGAGGTAGAATCTATTTCTCTTTCTTCTTGAATCTAGCCCCCAGGGCCACTGTTATATGAACATTTTACCCTGCTAAATTAAGAAGCCCATCCTTGTTGTTTTGTATGCACCTTATTTAGGCCATCAGCAGACAAAATGGAAATTGTATTTTGTAACCCACAGTGTGGTCCACAGGGGAAATGAGCAGTTGATAAGTATATATCCAGTACACTTATTCTAAGTGATAATTAAAATCGGAGCAGAGAAACGCAGAAGGAGCCATGGAATGAAATTGTCAATCTAAAAATTGTCAATTTGAAAATCTCGCCTGATTTTTCTGCAATCAGCAGTTCAAGGAACCTTATCAAGGACCCATCTCTGCCTTCCTAGGTTCAATTTGGAAGAGAATTAAAAAAGGAGAAAGAAAGTTTATATTGCATAAAGGCCTGCTGGTGCTACGATAGTTAAGATGATATTGGTGTTTCCATTACATTCTGGGGTGAAATACTGCATAAAAGGTCAAAGACATGGGTGACTTGTTCCTTACATTAATTAATTAATTAATTGACTTATTTATTTTTTACTCAGATGGAAAATATTATTCTTCTCCTTTAAAGAAAACTTTGAATTGTTTTGTATTTCAAATGTGTATTATTCAAATATAACCTAACACATTCCCTCCTGAAATTAGACTTTTATGTATGTATGCATAGAATCTTTTGTCTTTCCTGTTTCTATACCTTAGCATTCTACTTGAAGAAATGAAATTTTGTTATTGAACTAAGAAAATCAAGAGAATATATGTTGACCAATTTAATGCTATACATTTTTATTTCCTGACTCGGGATTCAGTCTTAACTATTCTCAAACAAATGCTATACTATAGAAAATAATCTTTATTATACCATCCCCAAACCTTTTCTAAACCATGCATTTACTATCAAAAACTTCTAAAACAGTTAAAATCAAGAAATAATGTGGGTGCATAGCTCTGGGTTCAAACCCTGACTTACTCCTTACTGAGTGACCTTAGGCAGCTCATTTAACTTTGCTAAGCTTTAATTTCTTTATCTGTAAAATGGGAATAAAAGTGACTACTTCATCCTAGGCATTTCTGTGAAAATTAAATGCATAAACAGAGGTTGGCACAGTGCTTGCCACCAAGTAACTGATCAGTAAATGGCTGGCTTTCTAACGGCTACATATGAGATTCTCAAAGAGCTACCAAATAAAGGTACACTCAAAACCAAAACTATAAAATGAGTCAAATGAAGATGTTGTAGATTGGTTTCTTTCCTATTCATACACGGGAGAAACTTTTTTTGATTTTATTGTCCTACTAGGTAAATAGTATACAAATTCTTTAGAAATTGCTTTCTGACATTTTCCCCCACTGTTATAGAGCATAAAGCATTAAAATTGGACATACCAGGATCAAAGTGGATAAACCATTCATTTGAAAGACCGCTCATTTATTATGGTAGACAATCCCCAAGTGCGCTCTATGGGAAGAAAGAGAGAGAGAAAAAGAAACTGCCCCCAGAGATGAAGTATTCAGGAAGAACAGAAGAATAGAAGGTAAAAATCTCAGCATTTACAGTTGCCTGGACAATCTAGCCCAGCAGCAGCATCCTCATATACAGGAAGCTTCAAAACTCCCAGCGTAAGTGCCTGTGGTGTCTGCTGCTGAGCCACATGCTGCTGCTTGAAAAATATCTTCCACCACATTAGAAAGCGGGGAGATGAAGCGGCAATTAAGACTAGCAGGACAGTTTTGTGCAACTGCACGACTGGATATTTTCAATATATACTCACCTCATAAACCAACAGAAAAATCTTATAATGACCCCAACAGATTAGTAGAGTATTGACCTCATATTTGCAAAGCCCATTTCTCCTTTCAGATCTTTAGTAAGCATCAGCGTGTTTTAAATCATACGTCCAACTAGACGCATTCTATCAGATGCAAAGTATTCGTTTCCTAGGTTATCTAGAGGCACTTGTCCCTGTTCACAAAAAGGGTTGTGATCAGATGTGAGAAATTGGCAGATTGGGCAATACATGAAATACATTTGCACAGTTTGTAGTGTGAAGTAATCCTACTGTGAACCTTTCTGTGGAGTGAATATTTGTTCTCTAAATTATATTTTGAGTTAACCCCAGCTTTCATATATACATTGGGAATTTTAAAATTTCAAATATTCGCAAGAGAAAGGGTAGGAACTAAGAGATATTGAGTAGCTACAATGTGCCAAGCAGAGTGGTACATGTTTTACCTAAGTTATGTTGTTTAATTGCCCTGAAATGCTATTAAAAATGAGCAAACTAGTTTGAAAGAGTTAAGTGACTTGCCCAAGGTAATATATACTTGTTTGTGTTTGTATGTGTATATGTGTGTGTGTGTGTGAGAGAGATTTGAAACCCAGATGTGTCTGATTTTCAAAATTGTCTTTTATAAGCCTGTTATTTCCAACCTGTGAGTCATAGATATTTAGAGGAATGTCAGATTTAGTAAACATATGGATTCTTCCCAACAAGCATGTTCTGAAAGCTAAATAAATAGTTGTCTCCATGTAATACCATTTATTGCATATAGGCATTATGATAAATAAAATGCAAATCCACCTAAAATATACCTGAAATATAGTATAGTCAATATTTTTGTTTCACTCAAGATGCAGTAAAAGTAGAGCTACTAAAAATGAGAGTTCCATGAGATTTTTGACATTTGAAATTAATATTTTTTTCCAAAGAGGAGAACCTATTAAACCATATGGAAATAGAGACACACTTTTAAATATTTAACCTCTCTAAACATTCAGTAAACAAAAATACTCCAGTTTTAAAATAGTTACCCATAGATGATCACATTCTGGCATGTGACAATCTTGCTAAGCTTTTCACAGGCTCTCATGTTAGAGTGAAGCTTGGAACCAGGCCCAAAAATAACATTTGCGACTGTCAATCCAATGGCAGACACCACGGATAAAGAGGACGTCTTGTTGGTCTTTCCAATTACATCAACATGCAGCTATTGAGAGGAGGTGGCAGTGCTACTAACATGATCCCAACACTGGCCTCTATTTCTACTTCTTCTAGCACCTTCCACTCTTTAATCTTTTGAGCAATATCTAAAACTTCAGTCACTGCAAAATGTCATATTCGGGAATTTGATTTCATGGATGACACCACATTCTGAACATAGTGGGAGTATATTCTGTCATGTGGCCATGATGGTACTGTAGCAAATGAGAATTGTCAACAGATATGTCATTGCAGTAGTATAATAAATAGCATATTGGTGGCCCGAAACAGTTAATAATCTTGGTAGAACTTCTAACTTGCACAAGAATAATGACTCAAGGCACTGGGGAGAGATAGGAACAATAAGTTTAGTTTTTCTTTTATTTCAATAATTGTTTTGATTTTCTTTTTGACCTCTATCATGCAGCTAATGAAGTTAGTGATTTGGGGTCTAGGCAAACATTTCTGCTTGACATACTATTTAGATGATTAAAATAACTTTTTTGTACCACTTTATGTGGAATTATTGGGAATTAAAGCTTTTTTCCAAGCATTGAGTTGCAAATGTTTACCAACACCTTCCCACTAGGATCAATTTATTCTGCTTCTAGGGTAAACCTGCTACTAGTTTTAAGGTCGGTGTTCACTGCTTAACTGACTTCAAAATATTTTCCCATCAATATCCACTTGGGAGTTTTATTGGTAGTTGTTAAAATATTCGTGCATGCTCCCAAATGTCTCTCCCAACTATAGACTTTTTTTCCCCCCTTTTGAGACAGGGTCTCACTCTGTCACCAGGCTGGAGTGCAGTGGCACAATCTTGGCTCACTGCAACCCCTGGCTCCCGGGATCAAGCGATTCCCCAATTACCCTGCCTCAGCCCCCCAAGGAGCTGGGACTACAGGCATGCACCACCACACCTGGCTAATTTTTTGTATTTTAGTAGAGACAGGGTTTCACCATGTTGGCCAGGATGGTCTCAATCTTTCGACCTAGTGATCCACCCACCTCGGCCTCCCAAAGTGCTGGTATTACAGGCATGAGCCACCGCGCCCAGCTTCCTATAGACTCTTTGTCCTGTTAACGCTGACCACCCATTGAATCAAGGTTAGATGAGAGTTAGAAGTCCCAAGTGGGAATTCTTCTTCCTTGGCTTAAATGAAGTATTCATAGACATTGCTGGAAATAGGAGGAGGGTAACCTATAGAAACAAGAGAGAGTTTACAGTAATTTTAAAGCTAGCCTATGATATAGTTTTTAGACACTGACCATACTCAATACCAGATGTCTGACATCACAGACTAGATCAGATATGTCATATAGTCATGGTCTTTACATTCACATTTTTATTAAGATGTTTCTGATGACCTCTGTGCCTAGACTTGATGGGTCTCATACCTTGTCAAACACAAATCTAGTATGACTATAGACCTTCTTTTGCTGTCCTTCAGTTTCAAATCCTCTCCCTGTTCAGTAAAATCTACTGCTACATTAACTAAATTTAAATCTACATTTAATATATTTTTAGAACTGCTTTTATCTGAAGGCATAATTTCCATTTTTTAGTACATCACTTTAAAATACACACATGAAGGATTCTTTTAAAATGTGAAGGATTGATAGATAGATAATGAAAGTCTGTTCACTATTTATTATATGTGTAACACCCATTTCAGGCGAGAGGAGTGAAACTTGTACAAAGAAGTTAGAAAAAAACACTCCTGTTTTGGTCCATGATTCTTGGGTTTTAATTCTCGGAAAGTGAAAACTATCTCACATATTGTTATGCATGTAGCATCCAGAATACATATCCATTGCATTTGCAAACACAGCACAGTTCAATGAATATTAGCAAAGGTCATGTGGTTTGCAAAAGTGATCAGCTAATTTCACTGTGCAAACTTTGACAAGTGTTTATATTCTATAGGAAGATCAGCATTGATTCAGTGTATTGAGAATAAGTAGAAGTCAAGCATTAAAAGTCCCACTTCATGTAGATAATAATTTAATTTCTAGTTCTCATAATTCAGTTTGAAAGATGTTCAAATTTATTAGACTAATTCCTCAAACTAAGAAAAAAAGAAACTTTCAAATCCCTTGAAGTTTTGTCAAATGCTAGCTCCCTGAGTATAGCTCATATACAACTTGTTGATGATACAAAGCTATATTTGTTTATTGCAATAGGTGATTACTACATTTACAGAATCTTAGAACCATCTTAGAGAGGGGAGAGAATGGTGGAATAGATTTTGGACACTTTTAAACAAGAGTTTGATGAAGATTGTGTGAGTTCTTGACCTAATGGTTTAAGGTTCATGGACAAAGCTTGCTGAGGCGAGGCTCTTAAAGTGAGTCCTATAGAATTTTTTTTTCAGAGACAGAATCTTGCTCTGTCATCCAGGCTGGAATGCAGTGGGACAATCATAGCTCACTGCAGCCTCAAACTCCTGGGCTCAACTGATTCTCCCACTTCAGCCTCCTTAGTAGCTAGGACTACAGGCACGAACCACCACACCTGGATTTTTTTTTTTTTTTTTTTTTGAGTCAGGGTCTGGCTATGTTGCCCAGGCTGGTCTTGAACTCCTGGCCTCATGTGATCCTCCTGCCTCAGCCTCCCAAAGTGCTAGGACTACAGGCATGAGGCCACGCCCAGCCAAGTCTTATAGATTAAATAAGCCTAATTGAGCTATCTAGCTAACTAGTTCTTTACTTTTAAGAAGCTCCTAAAACAAACAATAACGTTACTTACAGTTTTATCTATCTGGGTAAAAGTTTTGTAACAAAGTAAGGGTATGTTAACTCAGACAATAAGCTGTGGGGGTGTATATGGTTTTGGTTACTAGTTGAAAACAGTGACTTCAACACCAGCCAGCTAATATAGCCATGACACCTATAATTTTTCTTTTTATTGAAAGTTTCTATATGCAAAAACATAGTTTTAAACTTATTAAATGGAAACACTATAAATATTTGGGTATGTAACCAAGAACTTTTATTTAATTTTAAACAAAGGCAGCTGTACAACTAAAATAATGTTGAAAATATATCCAGTATCTCAGAACCACATTAAAGAAAAAAATATAATCCTAGATAATGACAGGAAGACTGGAGATAGTACACTACTAGAGGTCGTCTTCATCTATTTAGGCTGCTATAATAAAAATGCCATAGACTGGGAGGCTTGAACAACAAATATTTATTTCTCAGAGTTCTGGAGGTTGGGTAGTCCAAGATCAAGGTGCTGGCAGATTGGGTGTCTGGTGAGGACCTGCTTCCTGGTTCATAGATGCTGTCTTCTCTTTGTATATTCATGTGGCAAAAGGAGCAAGAGAGCTGATATGATTAGGCTTTGTGTCCCCACCCAAATTTTATCTTGAATTGTAGTTCCCATTATTCCCATGTGTCAGAGGAGGGACCCAGTGGGAGGTAATTTAATCATGGAGGCAGTTACCCTCATGCTGTTCTCCTGATAGTGAATGAGTTCTCATGAGATCTGATGGTTTTATAAGGGACTTTTCCCCCTTTTGCCCTGCACTTCTCCTTCCTTCTATCATGTGAAGAAGGGCATGTTTGCTTCCCCTTCCACCATGATTGTAAGTTTCCTGAGGCCTCCCCAGCCATGCTGAACTGTGAGTCAATTAAACCTCTTTCCTTTATAAATTACTCAATCTTGAGTATGTCTTTATTAGCAGTGTGAGAATGGATTAATACAGGAGCTCTCTGGGGCCTCTTTTATAAGGGGACTAATCCCACTCAAGAAGTCTCCCCCCTCATGACCTAATCACCTCCCAAAGTTCCCACTTCCCAGTACCATCACATTAGGGGTTTGGATTATAACCTAACCCCTTTTGGGGGTTTAGGGGGTTGCTTTGGGGGTGGTGACACAAAAATTCATTCCATAACAGGAAGAAAAATCAACGTAGCCTGACATACGCATAATTTAAAAATCAATATATTCCAATGGAAATCATACAGCCAGGAAACAGAAAGATTCTGTAATATGATGTTCCTTATTTTTACTTCCTGCATATTCAACACATGAGAGGGATGTCTATTTTATTGTTTGGCCCATAACTCATGTTTGCATAAATGCTTTTCTACTTCCTTTCAATAATCTTTCACTTTGCTACTTGATTTTCACAAAACCCTATGAAGTATCCCTGACAGCCATATATTATGCCCATTAAGTAGCTAAGAGAATTTCTTTTTAAAGAGACTGTTGGTGGGCCCAAGGGATACTTAAACTCCCATGTCCATTGCAGCACTGTTCACAATAGCAAGGTTATGGAATCAACCTAAGTGTCCATCAACGCATAAAGGAATAAAGAAAATGTGGTATATGTACACAATGAAATACTATTTGTCCATTTAAAAAGAATAAATCCATGCCATTTGCAGCAATATGGATGGAACTGGAGATCCTTAAGTTAACTGAAATAAGCCAGGCACAGAAAGACAACTATTGCATGTTCTTGTTCATATGTGGAAGCTGAAAATCTTCATCTCATTGACATAAAGAATAGAAAGAGAGAAATCAGAGTCAGGGAATGATGTAAGGGTAGGACGGGGAAATGGATAGAAGTTAGTACTGGGTACAAGCATACAGTTAGATAGAAGAAATAAGTTATCATGTTCGATAGCAGACTAGGGTGATTATAGTTAGTAACAATATGCTACATATTTCGAAGTAGCTAGAAGAGAGGACTTGAAATGTTCACAACACATAGAAATGATAAATGCTCAACGTGACAGCCCAGATATCCTGACTTGATCATTAAACAATCTATGCATGTAACAACTGCCCACATGTAGACCATGGATATTTACAATATTATGTACCAATAACAGAAAAAGTATAGAGAACTAGAAGGTGAAGACAACTCTTGAACCCAGGTCTTCAGACTAGGAAGTCTTCTTTCTTATAAAGGGCTTACTAACCATTACTTTTCCAGGCTTCATTTGCTGTCGTGGTTTTACGTTGTGCAAATGCGTAAGATGCTACGGGATAATTCTATTTTATAATAATTTTTTTTTTGCCGGTAGATAATTTAAATAGAATCTGAACTAGGCAAAAATGTGAAATAGATGAAAAAAATTATCTGCTTCTCCCTACTGACCCAGTCCTCTCAAACTCCCTTTCTCCCATTATCATCCCAGGGAAAACTTCCTCTATAGGAAGCCATCTAAAATTCATTGATATTAATTTTTAAAAGAGCAGTAATGACCACTAAAAGTATTAACTTCTGACCCCTGTCCCTTCCACCGGGACTTTTGCATTCCAAGTAATTAGGTAGAGGGATGCTGTTTTAATTGTCAACAAGAGCCTATGAGTTTTTTTTGTTTGTTTATTTTTGTTTCTTAATTTAAGCTGAGAAGTCAATTGTTTTCTAACATTTCTGCAAGGAAGCACACATTACATACATGCTGCATTTTTATAGTAGTGGTTGTTCCAATTTCTCCATGGAATAAAAGAATTTCCTACCTTATCAGGTGCAAAGGACAAAATAATATACATTCTTTCAAACTTTCTGATTCTGTGAAGTAGTGGCTCAGCACGTAATTGCTGATGGGACGCGCACTCTCTTCTTCTGACCACACACCTGGATTTGCATCTGCCCAAATGTTTCACTGATTCATTAAAAAAATATATATTGAGCCTCTGCTGTGACCTAGTTCCATGCACTTGGAATTCTATTGTGAAGAAAACAGTCAATCTCTCTGTCCTTAGACAACTTATATTTTGTGCATTTTCTAGGAATCAAACGCCCAAGAATAAGCCTCTAACTTCACCTTTCCTAAACACACAAATTACATTCAGATGTATGTGGGCCTTAAAGACATAAGGGGTATAGGTTATACTGTATCATTTAATTAGCCAATATCTATTAAGCATTACCTGACATTCAAGATACAAAATGCATAAGACTTTATTCAGTACATTTCCTGCCCTCTTTAATTTATTTTTCTATTTAGCACTCATTATTGTCTATTCTACATTTTATAATTTGCAATATTGATTGTTTGATTCCCTGTTAGAGGCAAGCCACAGGAGGTAGGGATGCCAGTCAAGTTTACTGCCATATCCTCAGCCTAGAGAATGGTGCCTGCAGCAAGGAGATGCGCAAAATATAATTTCTTCCAACATATGTAAGCATTGGGGTGAGAATAATCATGTTAATAAATTTAGGCTTTATCCTGTAGACACTAAAGAATCTGAAGAGTTTTGAAGCAATATCTGCATAATAGGAAGATAGGGCTGTAGCTGGCTTCAGGACAAAACAGAGTGCCTGAGATTCACAACCATTAAGAGCTACAAATAATGAAGGCAGCTGAGCTTTCGTTCTAAATCTTTGCTGATTTTGACCATGCAGAAAAACACTGTCTATATCAACGCATAAGAATGATCATACTTTGCATGTAAATACAGAGGCTTCATTCAGAACACATGAGTCATAAAAGAGTTAACCTGCTGAACAAGGTGTTAACTTGTGTTCCCAAAGTACCTGATAACCCCGGAGAGCCATTCAAACACTGGGAGATTCTGGCTCAGTATACAACAGAATTGGGTTAAGAGAACTATATAAGGCTTGAAAAAATACAGAATCATAGAAATTAGAAATAAAAGGGACTGTTAGATCATTTGTCCATCCCCTGCCAAGGCAAATTGTTGCTGACAGTATATTATAGCTTTATTCTTTGCAGTAGATTTTTATAGGCTTCCCAAGAGAGGTTTCTGATCTGTCCAGAATAATGAATGGGATGAATTTTTTTTTTTTTTTGGCATCTCACCACAAGAAAGCACGGCTTTTTACGGACTAGTTTGAGGAGTGCATTGAACTCCAGCATCAATTTCTATTAATTTTGTATGTTATTAGGTACAAAATATAGTCCTGGCTGCTGGAAAGAGAGGCTTATGAGCATTCTTTCTACTTCATTTAGCACATTGTTTTTTAATAAGCTGCAATATACTTAACTTGATATGCTGGGTATTTACGAAGATGTCAGTAAACTTGAAGAAACATTAAAAACTGAAAAATTTTAAACTCCTTACATGATTAATTATATTGTTTTGTTTTATTGGATTATATGTACAAAATACCAAAACGACTAGACTTATGAAGTTCATTAAAATTAGTCATAGGTATCCATAATAAATTTCATTGATGCTCACTCTACTCCTGTCTGTCATAAACAGGATACACACATCTTTATTTTATAGATGAATCAGTGGGGTCCCAGAAAGATTAAGGGGTTTGCTCAGGTAGTTACTATCAGTTCCAGAACTCACACCCAGGGCTCCTGACTCCTCCTCCAGTGCTCTATCTAACCCCCTGTTTCTGGTGAGAAAGAGGAACCAAAACGTTGGAAAATGTATTATGGTTGTTTATCCTAATCACTTGTAATTTTTTTTTTTAATTTGAGCAATTGAACTCTTATCAGAAAATCAATTTTACATCCTTTTCAGCTACGTGCACGTCCAACTTTTTAAAAATGACAAATATCTGCATTCTACTCCCAGTTTCACAACAAAACATAAAAATAGAAAAATGGTAAACAAAGGCTTGACTTGTCACTTGTCATCTATTTTTATTTATGGTGAAATGTGAGTCTCATATTTTTTAATCTGGCTGTCTTTGGCAGGTAAATTAATTATAAAATGTGAATCTGGCTCTCCAAATGGTAATATAGAAATTTTAACTATTTGTATGATGTTGGCTTTTTCTCATAATTAAAAAAAAAATTTGAGTCATTTGTGTATTACAGCCTGTGGAATCTAGGTAGTCTCTGTCTACCATTTTATTTGGGGGAGAAAGTGGTGATGATCCAAAGAATAAAATTCCAAACATTTACAAAAATTAGGCAAGTTTTAAAATAATTGATGAAATGAGGCAAACTAGAAAGCACATGGCCAGCCGGGCGCGGTGGCTCACGCCTGTAATCTCGGCTCTTTGGGAGGCGGAGGCGGGTGGATCACCTGAGGTCGGGAGTTCGAGACCAGCCTGACCAACGTGGAGAAACCCCGTCTCTACTAAAAATACAAAATTAGCTGGGCATGGTGGCAGGCACCTGTAATCCCAGCTACCCGGGAGGCTGAGGCAGGAGAATCGCTTCAATCTGGGAGGCGGAGGTTGCTGTGAGCAGAGATCGCGCCATTGCACTCCAGCCTGGGCGGCAAGAGTGAAACTCTGTCCCGAAAAAATAAATAAAATAAAACAAAAAAGAAATAAAGCACATGGCCCAACTAAAGCATCCAATGAGAATTGCTAGTACACGTATTTATACTAATTACTATGGGCCAGGCACTCCTGTGTAGTTTACAGACATTAACTCAGCCAATCTCCACAGCAGCCTGAATGAAAAGGTACAACTATCATTCCCATTTTAGGCATGGGGGTGTTAAGTAACTTGCCTAAGAAACACAGCTCAGAAGGGGTGGAAGCAGGAAGGAAACCCAGGTCCATGTTCTTAGCCACTATACAATAGGGCCTCTGCTCAGCTCCGCAGCCACAGGGACATAGGACCGATTTGGTCACCTTTAATTTTTCGAGAGAAGCCAGAAACCCAGCTTTTTATATAAACTTTCTTAATTTTAACATGTGAGCGACTAGTTAAGAATATCTTAAAACACAATGTGATTCAAACAGAAAACTTCTACAGGCTAGATTTGGCCATAAACCTCTAATTTATGACCTCTGCTTTGTCCCTAAATGTCGCGTGACAAGGATTTGCCAATTTCCAATTTTAATTTGCCATCTCCAGTGCCCCCTCATGAATTAGAATCTGTTTTCTGCCAGTGAGCACACATTAGTGAGATGCTCATTGGTCAAAGATTTGTAAAAGGCAGGCAGAGCACACCTCAGGAAACCTTCAAGGATTCCCCAGAATGAGAAAACAGAACATTCAGACATCGCAGCATGCTCCCGTCCAGAACTACCATGGGAGCGCCATTCTCAAGCAGGACTCACAGTCGTGCTATGATGAAAGGCCTCTTTATTCAGAGAAGCGAAAAAAAACATTGTCTGGAAATTACCCCAGATTTGAAGCAGACACTTGAAATCAAGGCCAAGACCAAAACACACGTTTCATTCTACTCACAGAGCCAGTTAACAAGGCCGTGATCTGAATGAGACGGAGCCTAGATGGATAGGGACTTTTTCTTAGTACGTGCTACTTTTGTTTTCTACATAGACTTTGAGACTAAGGCCATATTTTTTAATTATAAAATTATTGAACTAAATCCTAAATGGATTCCTTTTTACTAAGAATGGTGCTTCAACGATCTAAGATTCTTTGTGGATCCTCCAAACGTACATTAAGAAATCTACCTCTAATAATACTTAAAGTTTATTAATTTACTCCAATTCTATCCTGCGGTCAACAAATTTATTTACATACACCAGTAGTTCAATCTCACAATAGTACTAAGAGGACATGCTGGCTGCGGTGGCTCACGCCTGTAATCCCAGCACTTTGGGAGGCCGAGGCGGGCGGATCACGAGGTCAGGAGATCGAGACCATCCTGGCTAACACGGTGAAACCCCGTCTCTACTGAAAATACAAAAAAATTAGCCGGGCGTGGTGGCGGGCGCCTGTAGTCCCAGCTACTCGGGAGGCTGAGGCAGGAGAATGGCGAGAACCCGGGAGGCAGAGCTTGCAGTAAACCGAGATTGTGCCACTGCACTCCAGCCTGGGCGACAGAGCGAGACTCCATCTCAAAAAAAAAAAAAAAAAAAAAAAAATAGGAAAGACAGGATTTGTCCGAAGTTACACAACTCCAGAGAGGAAGAACTAGGATTGAAATCTTGGTCTTCTGACACCCGATGCCACTGATCTAACTACTGATTATACTAAGCTACTTCAAATAAGCAGCATTTCCCTAATGAAAGCGTCGCTAACAGCCATGGACTGAAGCCCGGCAAAAATTGATAATGAACATTAATTGATTTCAACTAAGAATCTCTGTAATATTTTTCTTCTATTACAGAAGGTAGTAAATGCAACAAGAAGAAAATTTATATTTTATGTTAAGCAGAAATATCTGTTATTCTATGATGACCTAAACAAGGGAAATGAGCATTAAAGTAATCTTCTGAGTGGAAACAAAACAAAATATCTGACTTTCTTTATAATATATTGTGTCAGATAGCAAGACTTTTTTTCTTTTTTGAGGTAATGAGGATGGTAAATCTTATACAGTGGTGTTCCCCAAGTGTAGGAATATTTTGCATTATTTTTAAATGCTACAGTTATTTTATTAATTTAAATTTCACTGAGATAAATTGAAATTTAACTCATTTAAAAATTAATAACTTTTGTACACTTTCCTTGCTTTTTTTGTTTGTTTTTAGATGGAGTCTCACTCTGTTGCCCAGGCTGGAGTGCAGTGGTGCAGTCTCGGCTCACTGCAACCTCTGCCTCCTGGGCTCAAGTGATTCTCCTGCCTCAGCCTCCTGAGTAGCTGGGATTACAGGCATGGGCCACCACACCTGGCTAATTTTTGTATTTTTAGTAGAGATGGGGTTTTGCCATGTTGGCCAGGCTGGTCTTGAACTCCTGACCTCAAGTGATCCACCTCCATGACCTCCCAAAGTGCTGGGATTACAGGCGTGAGCCACTGCACCCGGCCTTTCTTCACTTTCTTTATGAAGAACAGTTTTGAATTTTGTTGGTTGAGTTAATTGTGTAAGATGTCAGCAAAGATTAGTAGAATGAATGTACTGGAGTGAAACTTGTTCCCAGTGGTCCATAGATGCATTTAAGATTGTTCGAGATCTAGGATCACAAATTTTGAGATGCTCTATTTTCAGAATAAATATTAATTTTATGACTTAATTTTGGCCAGGTGGAAGAGAAGAAGCCAAAAGAAAAAGAAAATTTGTTCTACTATTAATATATAATCTGTCTCCCCTGCTATACTTCATGTTTCTCAACAGCAGGGACTAACTCATCTCTGTATTCTCATTCTCAGCTCCTGCCAATGTGTCTCCAACTACAATGCTTGGTATTTGATGAATGATGTATGTTTCAATAAATGAAAGAAGATAGAGAGAGAGAATAATTTCCTCATGCTTCACTACTGGTCTAGATAGTGACAGACTGATAGATCCGTCAAAATCAAGGCCACCCCTATAAGAACTGCTTGTCTATTCATAGGTGTTCGATCTGCTCCACTCCTTCCCAACCCTCATAACCTCCACTCCTCCCAAAGCCTTTCAAACACACAGGGCTCTCATCCTCTCACCATCCTCCTTTCCCAAGAATGCACACTCAGAAAAACAACCAACATCTCTCAGTGAACCCGAGTGTAAACTTCCTACACCTTTAAGTTACCCAGAGACAAGTTATAGCTCATTTCCACCTCCTGCTAAAGGAAGTACAGGTATTGGTGGAAAAATGGCAGCAGAGCGTTTCCAGAACCTGAAACTCATTCCAGGAGAAAGAGCATGGTGGGAAGAGGTGGATAGAGAGGGGGTAATAGAGATGGGTGGGCAGATGAGGAGGAAGAAATTCATATGTGTAAGTTTAACTAAGCAAAGTCGCCTATTGAGAAATTATATTAAACTTACATTTCACGAGTGCAAACACTTCTGGCAGGAAGCAAAGCTGCTTTCTTCTTCACACCATCCAGCACCCCCATCTCCATTCTATGCCTAGATATTTCTGAGTCCTGGGTCCTTAGGGCACACAGGAGTCATTTTATAAGAAAGAGAGACAGGGAGTAAAACATTTTGGTTTGCAGGTTCTGGGACAGCTCATATGGATCCCTATAGCCTTCAGAGAGGAAGCTGGGTTACCTTCCCATCATGGCGAGTGACAGTCCCTAGGCCCTACGTGGCAAGGCACAATTTTTCATGGGGCAATGAGATGTAGGTTGAGGAGGAAGAGGAGAAAGAAGATGTGTTCACATATTGATTTCTTCATTGTGTTAAATTTCATAATATGTGGCAAAGCTAGGAGAGTTATTATCTTAATTTTATGGAAAACTGAGGGACAGAGGAGGTAAAAAAAAAAAAAAAAAAGCGACCTCAGCATTCAGAGCTAGAAAGTGACAGAACTAGAAATGGAATGCAGTTCCTTTGGTTTCTACCTCAGTACTATATTCAACAGAATACACTGGTTATAATATTTTAATTATACGGCAACTAATAAGATAGAAAAAGTGACAGTGAAAATATAAATGGAAAGCCATCCAGAGGGATCAGTGAACAGTCATATATTTAAAAAGTAGTTGGGGGAAGTGGGTACAGAAATATACTTAGAATGAATAAGATCTAGTATTTGATAGCACAACAGGGCGACTACAGTCAACAATAATGTATCGTACATTTTAAAATAACAAAATGGTATAATTGGAATGTTTGTGACACAAAGAAAGGATAAATGCTTGAGGCGACAGATACCCCATTTACCCAGATGTGAATATTATACATTGTATGCCTGTAGCAAAATATGTACCCCGTAAATATATACAGCTACTATGTACCCATAAAAATTAAAAGTTAAAAAGAATGTGATGATGCAGAATCACATTCCTAAAACAGAAAGATGTGCACACATTACAAAATGTATGTAGATCTATATACATTAAATGTATTTATTTTTAAAGTAAAAAAATAACAAATACAAAATACTGTGATTGCTACTGTAAGGATAAGAAGGAAATGATTTCCTCACCAAAGCTGGATGATGTTATTTTCATAGTTAACATCCCCTATACAATTTTATTTTAAAACATTTTTTTCATTCACAGATATTACAGATATTGGCTTTAAATATCTCTCTTATACAGCCTTTATATACGAGTGTACTTTATAACTAACGCGTAATAAAACACAGAACTTGATTTCAAAAAGATCTCTTTTCCCATCCTAGTTCCTATGTGTATGACCTTAGGCAAATGTCCTTTTTAGCCAATATGGGCTTTTAAAAAAGGTCTTTATGTGATTGTTTGTGGGAATTAAAAGAGATAATGTGATACATAACAGCGAGATCAATGTATATTAAGTTATGCAAACAGAAAACAGTAGTAGGCAACAGAAACAGTATTAGAGCAATTATGGGGCAGAAAAGCCATAATTAGTTTTTCTCTGGCATGTTAGAAATATTTTCTTTCTTTTTTTATATTTTTTTGAGATGGAGTTTTGCTCTGTTGTCCAGGCTGGAGTGCAGTGGCACAATCTCAGCTAATTGCAACCTCTGCCTCCTCCCCAGTTCAAGCAATTCTCATGCCTCAGCCTCTCAAGCAGCTAGGATTACAGATTACAAGTGCCCACCACCACACCCTGTAATTTTTGTATTTTTAGTAGAGACGCAGTTTCACCATGTTGCCCAGGTTGGTCTCAAACTCCTGGCTTCAAGTGATCCACCAGCCTCGGCTTCCCAAAGTGCTGGAATTACAGGCGTGAGCCACCGTGCCCAGGCAGAAATATTTTCAACATTTGAATTTTAGTAAGGAAGATACATTCCTACTGTAATCAAAAAATAAAGTTTACTTGAAGGAGATAGCCAGTGGTGGGGCAAATTGACATGGTTGTTCCAGCAGTAGGATGCGGTGGGAAGTACACAGCACTGTTTCCGTGTTGTTTCAGCCCAAAGTGCATACTTTGAATCTAATCATGGGAAAATATTAGTCAAAATCAAAGTGATGAACATTCTACAAAGTGTCTGGCCTGTAACTTTGAAAAATGTCGGAGTTGTAAAAGTGGAGGAAAAGCTGAGGAGCTGTTCCAGATGGAAGGGGATTAAGCAGACATCGGTGGGTACAATATGTGATCCCAGGTTGAGCCTTTTTGCGGCAAAGGGCATGACAGAGGAAATGAGTCAAAGTTGAATGGGGTTTCTCCGTGTACTTATACTTTTTTTTTTTTTAGTTTTTCTGTAAATTTGATGCTTTTTAAAATGAATTACATTTTAAATGAGATTATGCTTGTCAAGTACCTGGCATAGTGAATGGCATGCAATAGGTATTAAATTAATATCACTTCTCTTTTGTTCCCATAGTGCAGCAGATAACACTTCTAGTTAGATGTAACTTTTTTTTTTTTTTTTAAGATGGAGTCTCACTCTGTGGCCCAGGTGGGAGTGCAGTGGCGCGATCTCGGCTCACTGCAAGCTCCGCCTCCCGGGTTCACGCCATTCTCCTGCCTCAGCCTCCCGAGTAGCTGGGACTACAGGCGCCCGCCACCACGCCCGGCTAATTTTTTTGTATTTTTAGTAGAGATGGGGTTTCACCGTGTTAGCCAGGATGGTCTCGATCTTCTGACCTCGTGATCCGCCCACCTCAGCCTGGGCGGGGATTACAGTGCTGGGATTACAGGCGTGAGCCACCGCACCCGGCCATACGTAACTTACTGAATGTGAATTTTGCTGTTTTTTTAATAGAAAATAAAATAGAGAGAAGCACAAAGACATTAAGAGCCTTATTAGATCATAAATTCCTAGACTTGAAGGATATGGTCCTCTTCATTTTTGTTTCATCCTCTGGGATCTTGCATTAACGCAAGTCCCCTAAGTACTTTTTGAATAATAAACTATTGGCAATTCCTTACTGCAACAAGTTAAATAGAGATAAAAATATTTTATCCTCTTTTGTCATTTGACACAATATTTGATGGTTTACAAATAAGCTTCTGCTTTCATTGTCAGAGAAAACTGATCCAGAGTTGAAATATCTATATTTAAGTATAAAATTTAACTTGAAGCTTTTCTTAAGAAAAAATGAAAATGGGAAAAAGCAATTGTAATTACTTCATTGCTGGTCTGGTGAATAACATATTGAATAGCACCCAAATACATTCTACCGTAGGCAAATCCATTTTCTATTAACCATCTTCAAATATTTTTGAGCCAATGTCTGCATTTAAATGAAAATGCATACCTCCCAACCCAAGCCATTTTAGAAAAGGTTTAGGTTTTCTTTTGTGCAGTCTTTTATGATTCAGCTGCTCTGAGAGAAACAGAATGAAATCAATCTTATTTCTTGTATATTTTATCACCTGATTTCAGAGATTCTCTGCTTTGATTACTTAAAAAAAATGGCAGAGTTCTATGATGCTGTCACTGACTGACATACAGATTTAAAGCCTCAGATAAGAATGTATGGTAATCAGATAAAAAGGCCTGGGCTGTACTAAAAGGTGCTAGTAATTTCCCAACTGAAGGTGAGGCTTGCAGAACCTGCAGAGATAGGGTAGGAGCAATTTGCACTCAAGCCCTCCCTCTTAGGAGAAACCCTGTCTCTGTAATCTCCATTCTTCCTCTAACTGCAAAGTAGTCCCAAGAGGTTTCTTTCAGAAAACTTCTCTTAGCCTTTCTTCCCCTTGTTTTGTGTGATTGCTGATTCAAACTCAGTGATTCTATTCTTGATCAAGCACGTGCTCTGGGCTGGGAAAAAGAATATGGGTTGTCTTTTTTTCTAATGCCTGAATCAGTCCCGTATGATTAATGCACTAAATGTTATTTAAGCAAAAATGGAACGTGTCTTTCTAAGGAACAAAATCACTCCAGAAACAGAGCGTGACCTTGAGATTTTCCCCTTTTCTCTACTACAGACAGCAATGATTCTCATGTGTCAAAAGAAAAATGAAAATCAGAGATTCAAAGGTCACAAAGGGGCTTGGCCGAGTTTTCTCCAGTAGAATTGTAGTTTGATGCCAAAGGTGGTAAACATTGGGTTTCTCTGGCTCTCAAGACAAAGCCATCGAAGAGCAATTGAGAAAGCTGTTAATTTTTCTAGCAGGCAAACTTCATCGAGAAAGATAAAAAACTTGTATTTAATCCATTCATCAGGGGAATCTACTATCAAAGACAGTTTTAATTCTACAAAGTTTGGCCAATTTGTTTTATGATAAATACATGATATATTGAAGATTGCCAAATCTAAATGACCCAATTATTAATCTTTTATGACCCTATGATATTATATATCGTTTTTTCTAAGGTCACTATGATCTTTGTGGAATTTGACAGTTCCACAGTAGAATTTCAAGTATGAGACCAACAGAATAAGGAAAAGGTGAAATAGTTAAGACAAAGTTGCTCTTTATTCATGAATCATTTTCTTTCTGTTGTATGTAGTGGAAGTGTCCTTTTGAACCCAATTGTAAAGGACTCTAAGGGGTGTGCAGTATACCTCTTCAAATAGGAGGTTATCGTTTGGGAAAGCAAAAAGCCATAATGCAAATTCTAAATTAGGATTAGAAAAAGCACCTACAATGGCTTTGATTATCCAGTCAGCTATGAATAGAATATTACTTGTTGGCTTTTATCAGTGTGTTATTTTGTTACTGCCTTAAATTATTCATAATGTATAGTAATAAACCTACAGCCTTTGATATTCCAGTGCATCTTTTTGTCTTCTGAAGACTGTGGGGTTTAAAGCAACTATTGATAAAAGAGAAAGGAACAAAATGGTCAGTTCACACCTCAGCAAACCTCCTAACCAGAGCCTAATAGCAATTTATTATGTATCTTTAAAATGCAATTATAGTACCTGAAATTTTTCAAAGAAATGCTTCACTAAAGGGAGACAAACCATGACTTGGCTGAGATTGTGTTTAACCTCATGAATAATAGCACATAAACATGCACAGTGCACACTCAAGCTAAGCACCTAGTTGTCTTTCTCAGTAGTGGAAAGGCACGGAATATAGCACACTGAGAAAAGTAATTCAACACCTGTGTCACACTGTTTGCCTTTAACGGCTCTGCTCCTTCATTTTGCATGAAACAATCAGTGATAGGGCGGCTCTTCTTAGGGCTGACCACGAATCCAGCGGGCAGTCACAAACAGCTCAACAGCACCTGCCTTTGCAAATGGCTCTGGCAAGCATAAACCACAGGGTGATTTTCGTGTAGTTGTCTTACGGAAAGGATTACTGTTCATGAAATGCCCATTCCTGCCATAACTGTGCATTGAAAGAGGTTGGTGTATTAAAATACAAGGACCTGTATTCGGAACTCTAGGCAGTGCCTGAAGGTGGGAACGTGATAGCGAAGCGTGAAGTACTCGCAGAGGGTGAGAGAAAATAGAAGAGGCTGATTGAGGCCGACTTACAGAAGGTCTTGGATTCTGTTCTGAAGGTTCTGCACTTTATTATATAGGTGGTAGAAAGCGTTAAATCTACAGAATATGATAGAGTATCTAGATACTAATATACAGGAATGTTTTAAACGTCATTCTTTCTCATGCCCGTGGGCTGGTGCTTTCTCTCCACTGCACCTTTGCTCTTGCAGTTCTTCTCTCCTCTCTTCTGTACCCATTGCCAATAACCATTCCTGATGAACTCAGAATTAACCCCTTTCTGATGCTGCCTGTATCATCCCATTCAAAAGTCCTTATTACGCTTTAATAACCATTTTAAATTGATTTTAGAGGTGTGATTTTTTTCACCTTTTAATGTCTCTGAAATCCAGATGCACCTTACAATTGATCATTTCTTAGAATTACTGCCCACCAGGCAGCTGTGGCAAGGTCGTGGTCTCTGCCAATGTGTGTGCTCGCATGGTCATCACTGCTATTCTTTTCATTTCTTCAGTTGAGTTATGCACCTAGTTAGCACTAAACAAGTTAAGGTTAATCACCATTTAAAATGCCTTGAAAAGATGACACAGTGCCTCACTACCGAAACACTAGTTATTGTGTAAGCAGAAAACACAGAAGCAGAGCAGAGGGCCATGAATTTTATAATAGTGGAGCAAGTATTCAAAGTAACAGTCAAGTGCTTTATAGGACCCAAGAAAGCAAAGTACCCAGAAGTAGACGATGCCGGGTTGTTTTATTATGGAGGTGTTTGCAAAAGGATTCCTATCATATGCCAGGCTGTGCAGCTTATGCCAGGGGCATGGCCAAATCCCTGAGAATGAATGAAAGAAATTTCAAAGCAACAAGAAGCTGCTAGGACCCATTCAGCATTTGTAACACTAACATTAGAGTAGGCTGTTAAATTGTATGGGTATTTTTTTCTTTCATAATGGCACATAAAATATGTATCCTTCATCATAAGTCATACAATTATATACATTTGATGAGATGTAATAATTTCTTTGCAGTGTGTAATAGTGTTTTTTATTTACCTTCATCTTTTTTTCTTCCTTGTAGATTTGTAGATTTGTCATCCTCATAACCAGATTGTAGGCAAACTGAAGGCAGGGCTCTTTTCTGCTCACTTTTTGGTTTTTTGTTTGTTTGTTTGTGACAGAGTCTTGCTCTGCCTCCCAGGCTGAAATGCAGTGGTGCAATCTCTGTTCACTGCAGCGTCCACCTCCCAGATTCAAGCAATTCTCCTGCCTCAGCCTCCCGAGTAGCTGGGATTACAGGCATATGTCACCATGCTCAGCAAATTTTTGTATTTTTAGTAGGGGCGGAGTTTCACCATGTTGGCCAGGCTGGTCTCGAACTCCTGACCTCAGGTGATCCGCCTGCCTCAGCCTCTCAAAGTGTTGGGATTACAGGCATGAGCCACCGTGCCCAGCTCTCCTTGCTTTTTGTGTCATTCTCTGCGATTGCCCAGTACCTTACACATAACAAAAATTTTTCATATGTTACAATATTAACGGGAATCACTGTGTTCTGGTTGTACATTTTCCACAAGGATAAAAAGCAGTTAACAGAAGAGATGCCAAAAGAAAACTTCAACAAGATCTAACCCACTGAACTCACATCATTTATATTTGGCAGTGTGGTCCACTAGAAAGAACAGCAATTTTGAGATCCCCCTGAGCTCATGTGTAGGATCCATTACTGATTAAATATATCAATGTCCTGATGGGGCAAAGTCATTAAGCTCTCTATGCCGGGCTTCCCCACTACAAAATAGATATATAAGTACTAATGTACAGTAATGTTTACCTGGGAAAAAGTGTTTAACACCACATATGACTCATAGTACATGCTCCACAAGTGTCCATTTCCTTTCCGTCTTCCTCTTTCCCCCTTGATGGTTCACCCAGGAGAATAAGCCGGGAGCTGTTTATTTGAATTAGTACTTGTGTGCTAAGGCTGAGTTCTGCAACAATGTTTTTGAAATCTGGCTATAACAAGAATTACCTGTGAAGTTTTGTTTGTTTGTTTGTTTAATAGAGATACTTGTTTCCCACTTTGGAGACTGCAATTTATAGTCTGGGATGGTGGCCAGGAATCTGTATTTTTAAATAGCTCCCTGATCAGGCGATTGCGACACACCATTGGGATTGAGAATTACTGTGCTAATAATACTAGTTATTGCTATCATTTATTCTAATTTAAAGGTTATATTGACATCTATCTGGGGAACAGGAGGGTTGAAAAAAACAAACCAACAATGCAGAAAATCATTGAAAAGCGCCACTTCTACAATACTTTCTAGATGCGTTTCTTGAGGTTGGAAAAAAATCATGATTTTTAGTATCTTCTCTTCCCTTCAGAGTCATAGGGTACTTAGTGATAATTTTTTGAAGTCGCAATGCTAAAATGCAGTCTCTTGATTCACTCTAAAATTAATGGTTACTGCTTAGTCTTTAAATATTTAAGATAAAATCTGCTCAGACAAATCCTGATCCTATCCTTCATATAAATTCTGGCTACTATAGACTGTTATTATCTCTTCCAAACACCGTGGGAGTGTTATTAATGCAGACACAGACATCTTAGATTACTCAAATGGACATGGGGATGAGGGTTAATAAAGAAAATGGTGCAGTAATCATTTAAAGCAGTTTTTGTTTGATTTTTCCAGAATATCATCATCATCAGATGCATCTTGATGCCAAAACACACACATACAGACACACCAGCTAAAAATACAAATAGCCATTTCTTTTAAGGTCCCCTGACCCATTAACCGTTAAGTATCATAGAAATATATAAGAAAGAAAGACGAAATGTCATTGATCGAGTGCCTGTTTAGTGCCAAGCAATACACCAGGAAACTTAGGCACACTGTGTCCTATCCATACAAAACATTTGGAAGGTAGGAATGATTCCTATTTTACCCAAACAAAAAACAAACAAGCAAAAATAAAACCAAAATAAAACCAAACTCAGGCTCTGCAAAGCTAACTGATTTGCCCAAGATATGAATAGTAACATCCAGAAGGCGCTCAGGCTCCTAAAGCTAATGTTCTTTTTATATCAATCCCATACATAAATCTAAGCCAACAGCAACAAAAGACTGGGTTCTGCCTCAAGCCTGGGGAATTTTAAATCATTGAAGGGACCCCTCCCCACCAAAATAAACGTTGTTGCTCAGCAGTGTGTACTCAGGAGACTGTGGCCTTAAATATAAACAGAGTGGAGTTTGTGTGTCAGATGTTCCAGGAAGGCCCTGGTGCTCCCCCAAATCCTCCCGTACCTCCTCGCAGTATAAAAAAGAGCCTCTCCTGATACTTGGGATTTCTCCATCAGAACTTTACCCAGTAGCTGAAAGCTCCATGCCCATTCAGATTCTCTCCCCCCTGGGAGGTGTAACACTTTAAACTGTCATCAGTCATTCACATTTTAGTTTTGACCTGGGGATTACAAAAGAGGAAAGGAGGGCACTAGTATCTGACTGGGGAGAGAGAATCTCCCAGAATAGAGCAGCTTTCCTGATAACCCTCACCCAAGAACCGACATAGCCTAGAGCTGGCCTCGCGCACAGCACCCTATGAGGTGGAATATGTTATAGAATTTAGATTAGACACAATCTTCTTGTCCCAGATTCAGGAACTACCCCCCAAGAAGCCTGAAGCCTCATCAAATCTGGGCTAAACTATATATTTATTTCACTTATACGTTCAGCATGTATGTAATGGCTCTCCCCTAAGTCATTACTTGTAGGGAAAGTGTTTTAATTTTTTTTTTCCTTTATCCTGTTAGAAATCATCTTTTACAGAGAAAAACTTCTGTAAGTACCTATATCTCAACAGTACACTTTTAACACTAACTGCTGGGGTTCGGTGCCTCAACTCTGTATCTTCTACTCGTTCACTTTACCCACTCACAGATTTGAATGAACTGCTTGTCATTGGGGAGGAACCACAGGAAGTTCTTACGGTGGTCACACTTTAGGAGAGAGAATTAGTGCCGAAGCTTTTCCTCATGGAGAAAGCTGTGGGGGGCAGATTAGGTAGCTGCATAATCTCTGGGATGTCGCGCCTGCTTTGCTTTACTCTGGCAAAACAGAGACCCACCTACGAAATGTTTCCGGGAAGGGATGAAGTGTGCCACGGAGTTTCTGAAGGAAGAAATGCAGGTAACTTGATGTCATCTGGCTATCGGCTGCCAGATGTCTTAATCTGATAGTGGACATTAGCAATAATATTTAGTGAAAGACTCTTTTTTGGAAAGTCGGGATTGACATTTAATCCATCAGTCTGTGTCTTATCTATGTAACTCTAGTGTAAATCTAAAAGAGATATCATACATGTAACAGTGAGAATACTTGGAATTCTGCTTTTTTAAAAATTCAGAAATAAATGGACTTGCATTAAAAACATATTCTTATAAGGGAGAAATAAAAATATGTTGTTTTCCATAATCGCAATGACATCTTAGACACATTGGAAAGGACAGCTGCTTAGTATGTTTGCAGAATATTTGGAAAAATACATCCAATGGCAGGAGAATTGTTAGGTAAACTTCTGTGTATTTATTGGATAGTCTTTATCAGTCATCAGCCATTGATGCTTGTGAAGGCTATGTAGTAACAAGGAAACACATTCTTGTTAAAAGATGAAAAAGCAGAACTAACACTAAACATCTACATTTGTGTCAAATATTAAAAATGTATTAATGGAAAATATTAAATCATATAGATCTATCTGTTAACTTAATCAAATATCATATTTATTTTGAATTATTTAAATATCATCGATCTTATTTTTACTCAATAGATTTCTCAGTACAGACTGGATAGAGGGCTAATTTAAAATAGAAAGCTACTAGTTAATTTCTTCATTTCTCTGTGTTATCTGAGAATGAAGTGCTTCTAATTTTGAATGGTGTGTATTGTGTTAGGAGTTTAGACGTTTTTTCCTGCCACTTGATACAGCAGGCAAAAGCAGCTCATTAGGTAATCATCACCTAGAAATTTAAAGGTGAGGTCTGAAGAGACTATTTCTTGCTTTTGCTTTTGTTTTTTGGTTTGCTGCTGTTTCTTTTGATTTTCATTTATTTTGACTCTGAATTGTGAAATTAGTTCACCCTGCTCTAAGACATCTCCTACATATGAAAAAATAGATTTTCAAGAAAGTACAGCTACAAGTTCAGTCTCATGACAAGGCTTGTCACTGTTCTCTGTTGGTTTGACTGAATGCTAGCTTTGTTCCACCTGGCCTTTGGGCACCTCTCCCTCAGGAACCAGTGGCACAGGCCACGGATGGAACTCCAGGCCTCTACCTGATTCACTTTTTCTGAGTATGGAGAAAACACAAACAGATCACCTCATCAATCAAAGACACCTAGTAGTTTTCAAAATACAGATGAAATCTTCAATGTGAATCATTTGTGTTTAAAAAAATAGCTAAGAGAAAATAATGCATGAAGAGTGAAATAATTTTCAATTATTAAAGAGTTTAATTGCTACTCTGCTCCTTGATAGCTGAGTGACTGATGATTTAATTTCTGAACCTTGGTTTTCTTTATGTCTCTTTTCCACTATGGGTTTCAAATAAGACAACATTTTCTTGAAAGCTAAAAATACTTCACACACATAGTAAAACGAAGTCAGGGTGTGCTGGTCCTTGAAATGGGGGAGACAGCCAGGAGGAAGAAGAAACAGCCAGTAGAAAAATAGAAGGAAAATGATGCCAAAATAATTACATATTAGTCTTTTTTTAAGGTTTTACTATTTAACCATTGTTAATGATCTGCCCTGTTTTCATATGCTGTGATCTTAAAACATATAATAAGATAAACTTGAATGTATCTTTAGTCCAAGGAAGAAAAATTAATTACCTGCTCAAGTACATAAGGTAGCAAGTAGAACTATCAAGTTCTGCACCAAAGTAAGATGATTTCAATGCCTACTCTCTAAGAACTTACACATGAGTAAGAAAGATAAGACAAACTAGATTAAGAGATACACAGCAACATAGGACAAATAGAAATTTAGGAGAAATTCTCTCTCTATATATGTGTGTGTGTATGTGTGTGTGTGTATATATGTATGTATGTATATATTAGGGGTGAAAGGAACTTCTACCCCCTGAGGGTTCAAACATTTGAGTCTATAAAACAAACTGGCAATAGACAGATGAATAGGAGAAAAGGCATATAAATTTGTTAAAATGCAAGCACATGGGAATCACACAAAGTATGAGACTGAAAGAAGGGCCAGATGGTTGATGCTTACATACTCTCTTCATAAGAATAGGGATGTTGAGGGTGTAGGCAATTGTAGAGGAAGAGTACATGAGTTTTAGAGGAGGTGAATGAGCCAGAAGAACAGACAATGTATCCTGGGACCAAGTTCCTCTGGCTCTGAGGTGTGGTGACTACTCTAGTCTGCCTTCCTGCACTGTGTATCAACTTCCTTCCATTGATGAGATATCTTGAGAAGCAATTCACAACCATTGAACATCTCCTGGGGATCTAGCTTTTAGGCAAGTAGGAGAACTTTAGCGAAAGCTCTTCCCTGCATTTGCAGCTCCGCAGGTGTTCTCAGTTTTAATTCCAAATGGCATATTTTAGGGTATCATTTTCTGAACCTCAATAATACATAATTTATATTTGATTATTATTTACTATCATACATTGAGCATATATTATCTCATGAGGTTGTATATTTTTATATGTTCTAGGGAAAAATATAAAGGTGGGCAAAGACATAGGAGAGAAATGGATATGAGTGAAGAAAGACTGAGAAAATCGGAAGCCAAATTTGCAGCCCAGATTCTTGATTTATTCTAGTGCCGAATGAGAGATATTTGCAACTTTTTCATTAGGACTTTACAAACTGCTGCTAGTACTAAAACCACCACCACTACCACCACTGCAGATTAGAAAATGATCACTGTGTGCGGGCTCTTTGCTAATCATTGCTCCCCATCATCTCATTTAAGACTGATAACCCCATCTACAGGTGAGCCATCTTAGTGTCAGTAACAACCAACCAGGAAGGGGTAGAACAGAGATGTAAATTCACACCTGGCTGACTCCAAAATCCATGCTCTTAACCTCCACACAATTCTCTCACCTTTCAAGTTAAAAGCATTTTTACAAAGAAAAGGTTAAATACGTAAGTTTGTAAAATATCATATTTCCATTTCACATGCAGAAGTTAGGTTTAGATAATCATGATAGAAAAGAACACACTGCCTCGATTTTTCATACGTTGACCAATTTTGACTTTAAACTCAAAATTGAGTTCAGGGATATTGTCATGTCTTTTGTATCTCTGTGCTTTTTTGGCCTGAAGTAAGGTGACTGTCATTCAGTAAATTATTGTAAAATATTTAAATAAATATATGAGTTTCACATATTTCTTTTCTTTTACTTTCATTTATCATATTGCCATATAAAATTTAATATTTTAAAGATAATATTGGTATATTTTTGAATTGGTAATATTTTGCTTTCTGATGAAATCCTCAAGCTTGCCAGTTTGAGACAGAAATGCAAAAAAAGGGACATTTTAATGTTTTTCTTACATTGTAGAGTCAAGAACACTGGTTTGAGATTAGCACACCTAAATTTCAGTCCCCGTTCTTAAGGTTGCTAACGATCGATCCTAAAGCAGAGCCCTGAAGGTCTTTGAGCTTGGGTGTTCTCATTTATAATTGCTAGAACCTTTGATTTGCATTTCCCTGATCATTAGTGATGTTGAGCATTTTTCCATATGTTTGTTGGCCATTTGTATATCTTCTTTTGAGAATTGTCTATTCATGTCCTCAGCCCACTTTTTGGTGGGATCGTTTGTTTTTTTCTTGCTAATTTGTTTGAGTTTGTTGTAGATTCTGTATATTAGTCCTTGTCAGATGTATAGATTGTGAAGATTTTCTCCCACTCTGTGGGTTGTCTGTTTACTCTGCTGACTGTTCCTTTTGCCAGGCAAAATCTCTTTAGTTTAATTAAGTCCCAGCTATTTATCTTATTTTTCTTGCATTTGCTTTTGGGTTCTTGGCCATGAAATCCTTGCCTAAGCCAATGTCTAGAAGGGTTTTCCAATGTTATCTTCTAGAATTTTTATAGTTTCAGGTCTTAGATTTAAGTTCTTGATCCATCTTGAGTTGATTTTTATATAAGGTGAGAGATGAGGATCCAATTTCATTCTCCTACATATGACTTGCCAATTATCCCAGCACCATTTGTTGAATAGGGTGTCCTTTCCCCACTTGATGTTCTGGTTTGCTTTGCCGATCAGTTGGCTGTAAGTATTTGGTTTTATTTGTGGGTTCTCTATTCTGTTCTATTGGCCTATGTGCCTATTTTCATACCAGTACCATGCTGTTTTGGTGAGTATGGCCTTATAGTATAGTTTGAAATCAGGTAATGTGATGCCTTCAGATTTGTTCTTTTTGCCTAGTCTTGCTTTGGCTACACAGGCTATTTTTTGGTTCCATATTATTTTCAGGATCTTTTATAGTTTCTGTGAAGAATGATGGTGGTATTTCGATGGTAGCTGCGTTAATTTGTAGATTGCTTTTGGGAGTATGGTCATTTTCACAATATTGATCCTACCTATCCATGAGCATGGGATGTGTTTCCATTTGTTTGTATTGTCTATGATTTCTTTCAGTAGTGTTTTGTAGTTTCCCTTGTAGAGGTCTTTCAATTCCTTGGTTAGGTACATTCCTAAGTTATTTATTTATTTATTTATTTATTTGTAGCTATTGTAAAAGGGGTTGAGTTCTTGATTTGATTCTCAGCTTGGTGCTGTTGGTATATAGAAGAGCTACTGATTTGTGTACATTAATGTTTTATCCAGAAACTTTGCTGAATTATTTTATCAGTTGTAGGAGCTTTCTGGAGGAGTTTTTAAGGTTTTCTCTGTATACAATCATATCATCAGCAAACAGCAACAGTTTGAATTCCTCTTTACCGATTTGGATGCACTTTATTTCTTTCTCTTGTCTGATTGCTCTGGCTTGGACTTCCAGTACTATGTTGAAGAGAAGTGGTGAGAGTGGGCATCTTTGTCTTGTTCCAGGTCTCAGAGAGAATGCTTTCAACTTTTCCCCATTCAGTGTTATGTTGGCTGTGGGTTTGTCATAGATGGCTTTTGTTACATTGAAGTATGTCCCTTGTATGCTGATTTTGCTGAGAGTTTTAATCGTAAAGGATGATATCACCTTATTCCTGCAAGAATGGCCATAATAAAAAATCAAAAAATAATAGACATTGGTGTGGATGCAGTGAACAGGGAACACTTCTACACTGCTGGTGGGAATGTAAACTAGTACAACCACTATGGAAAACAGTGTGGATATTCCGTAAAAAACTAAAACTAAAACTATCATTTGATCCAGCAATCCGACTTCTGGGTATCTACCCAGAGGAAAAGAAGTCATTATGTGAAAAAGATACTTGCACATGCATGTTTATAGCAGCACAATTTGCAATTGCAAAATTGTGAAACCACCCAAAATGCCCATCAATCAATGAGTGGCTAAAAACTGTAGTATAAATATATACGATGGAATACTACTTAGCCATAACAAGGAATTAATTAATGGCATTTGCAGTGACCTGAAAGAGATTGGAGACTATTATTCTAAGTGAAGTAACTTGGGAATGGAAAAGCAAACATCGTATGTTCTCACTCATAAGTGGGAGCTAAGCTGTGGGGATGCAAAGGCATAAGAATGACACAGTGGACTTTGAGGACTTAATGGAAAAGAGTGGGAAGGGGCCGAGGGATAAAAGACTGCAAATATGGTGCAATGTATACTGCTCGGGTGATGAATGCACCAAAATCTCACAAATCACCACTAAAGAACTTACTCATGTAACCAAATACCAGCTGTTCCCCAATAACCTATGGAAATAAAAAACTTTTTAAAAAAATGGTAGAACCTTACAGTGTAAGCTCCCTCATTGAAAGGCATGTAATACCTGTACCCTGCCTGGCCCACAGCATGTATCCAATATACAGCAGTTAACTTTTCTTTCCTGCTCTCTCCCTCCTTTTACCTCAAAGAGTTTTTAAGTAATTAAAAGAAAGATCACTCTAATTTTTAAAAAAACATTTGGAAGTGTAATCTAGGTAGCAATTTATCACAAAAACTTTAAAATAATTTATTTTTACTCTATTAAGTCTTCCATTAGGCTACAACTTGTCAATACAGCAAAGTTTCCTACTTCTCCTGATGACAGACATATTTAATCCTTTTAGTATAATGTGCTACAATGAGGTTCATAAAACTTTGAGTTTTAAAATGATTGATATACCTCCTAAAATGACCTCCTGCCCATGCTCCTTGCCAAAAAATTGATTAAATTCACATATTACATTTTTTCTAACCCTCGAAAGTAATAGGAATCATAAAATAATAATTTATAAAGAAAACCTGTAGGTCTAATTCTCTTTTTTTAAACTAGATTATATTCTAAATATTTATTAGGCAATTTCCTGGGGTTAAAAAACATACAGAGAAACTTAGATTTTTAGACTATCAAAAATAATCTGCTTCAACTTTAAATTGGTACAGTCAAATTTAAAAATAATTACAGCATTAAACAATATTCCTTTTCCAGACTCTTCCCTCTGTCATAACACAGGAATTTTGGCTTCCATCTATCCAATCCTTATGGTAATTTTAAGTTGTCAGCATGTTAAACTATTAAGTTGAAACAATAATTCTTTATTTTTTTAAACTAATATTCTGTCTAAATTGCTTCAGAGCTTCAAACTCAACATGTTTAAAAGAAACCTCTCAGTCATTCAATATTTAGTTTCCTAAGTAATTTTCCTTCTAGGCAGAAAAGTAATTGGTCTCAGAAGCTGATTTTGTTCTCCCTTCTTTGCACTGGCTGCCAGAAAGCTCAGAACCAAATGTGCGGTTAATGTATATGACCTAGAGTACGCATGTTGTTTATCAACCTCACTCCAAGCTTCCTGCTATTTTTCCTGTACTTATATTCTAATTTCCTTACTTGTCTTACTTTGCACATTTTGTGATTATATTCTGTATTTATATGTCACATTAAATTGCTTAATTTTTTAAGTTGGGTATAAATACACTCAAAAATAAATTAATTCCACTAAAGTTGACACTCCCTGCATTGTTCAGCTCAGTGCCTCTAAAGACATGATCCCTTTGTCATCCTTGACCTTACCTTTTCTTCATTCCCACATTCAATGGTTGATAAAATCCTGGAGTTTCTAACACTTAACTCTCTCTAAAAGCCTTCTTTTCGCTTTAGTGGTACCATCATTGTCTTAGTTTGGAAATTCAATTGCTTCTGCCTTGGTCTCTCAGATATTGTCTCATCGCTTCAAAACATCTTTTATACTGTTGCCAAAAATGGTTTTTGAAAAAAATGCAAGTCTGACTACACATGCCACAGTTACAATCACAAGAAAGTAACATAGTCACAAATAGGGTGTACTGCTTGGCTCTTGTTTTTGCTGAATCTGTGACTCGTGTTTACCATCAGCCATGTGTTCTCTTATAAATAGGTATTTGTAAGAAAAACTATTAGGCTTGCTTTTGTAAAAGCTAAAATGCACAAGACAGGATTTTATTAGCCTGCCGCAATAAGAACATTTATTAATTCAGAGAATCTCAAAAAAAAAAAAAAAAAAGGGGGGGTAGAGGAAGGGGCTGAAAAGGCAGAGGGCTGCAGTTTTATAGAGGCAGATAGACAAGAGGATCATCCAGAGTCGTAATGGAGTCATGGAGAAGAATGGAGATGCCTCTCATGGAAGCCACTGAGGAAGGGCAGAGCTGGGAATATGCTAGACCAGAGCATGCCCTGACAGCCATTTCTGGGAACACAAAGGCGTGGAGGTATTTTGGGAAGGGAAGGAAGGACGGGGAGATATCATAACCATCACTGTTTTCCAGGAACACGGGGTTCATGTAAAGTTGGATATTGTCATTATTCATCCATCTTGTGAAATTGAATGTCCTCACATTTCTTTTAAAACTGCACAGAAATGAAAACAGAAAGAAATGGCAATTTCCTAAATGTCCCCTGTTGTTCCCCTCGCACAGCCTTATATAAGTGGTACATTTTCATCTTAAGGGGAAGGCCGAATATACAGAGATATCTATAAGATCACTTTCAGAATCGCCAGTGAAGGGAAGAAGAGGGAGTGGTCCCAGGAAGTTGATTTACTCAAGGGACACCCTCTTCACCCCAACGCCAGGTGGCGCTGATGGAAATGGCTAGCAGGCCACACTTTGAGAAACCCTGGCCCAGAATATCATCTATCTTAACCTTTGCTGTAATTGAAATTTTCCTTTTACGTCTCACTTAATAATCATGAGCACTATGAATCCCTGTAACTCAGGCAAGAAGAAAGAATTCTCCACTGCTGATGGAGCTATTGTTTCAGATCATACCATTGATTAGGGATCAGGAGTCGTTTAGTAAGCCTCTGGTTTCCAAAGTAGCTTAAGCTCTAATTTCATAGACATTAAATCATCCTGGATTCCTCCCTCTTAATGGCATGTTGGCAGAGCAGTTATAGCTCACTAGAGAGCAGGCTTGCCTCAGCTGTTACTGCCTCAGCCAGGTGGTCAGAGGAAAAATGAATTTGCTTACCTGGGAAAACAGGTTGCCTATAAATCAAAAGAGGTCAAGTTATGTCCACCAGATGGAGGTTTTAAAATCTTAATGTGTAAGTTAAGATATAATGGATTACAGGAGGTGAGATTTTAGTAAGGTTGAATCATTTTGTTGCCTTCTGGGATGGAGGGGGAGCGAAAGGTTACTGTTACAGTGAACAAGAATGAAGTCAGATTTTCATCCGAGGTGACCTAATTACCAAGGATGTGATTCTGACTCATTAATTTTCAAAATCATATCTAATTATTGGTATGGCTTACTGAGGCTCAAAAATGTGTTTTCTAAGTGTATAGTATCTTTTCCATAAGTACTAGATTTAGGCATGTTATAAATATTGTGGTTTAAGAGGACTCTAAACAGTCAAGAAATCTCTTTCTCTGTTTCTGTCTCTCTCTATCTCTCTCTGTCTCTGTCTCCCTCTTCTTTCTGTCTCTTTCTTGTCTGCTAGTTCTTCAGCCCTGGAAATGTAAAATGAAGGGTTACAGAAAACAAGAAGAATCTGTCAGTTTTCTCTTTCGGGGCAATTAAAAAATTGATATATTATTTAACATAAAGCTTTGATGGTAACTGTGGATATCATTTATCCATATTATCTCACTAGAGTTAACTGTAGGAACACATTTAGCCATGAATGACTTTTTACTCTGAAAGAGTAAAGTCACAAGGGAAGCAGAAACAGTCCATGAGTGACAAAGGATATTATCAAAAATGCTTATTTATTCCAGTGTGTGAATATGGTATGTGTACAAAACAAATAATTTTGAATTATTTTAAAGGTTTATCCCAGCTGGGAATTATGCATCTCTTATTCCGTAACTTGGCCTTTTTTGTCTTGAAATTTCAATGGTATACTTGTTTCTCACCACCTTTTTTAGAAAAGTGTAAAAACTTACATAATAACACTTGTCTCCTGACATACTGGAGATGTTTCCCATTTGACTCTCTGCTGTTAACCGATGAGCTTAACATCTTGCTACCCTGAGATGCCCAGCAGAGAACATGACTTTTTTGTAGGGGAAAGGACACTTGAGTATGTGGGTCTTTCAGTACGCAGATTCCTCATAGGTCTCTTCACGTAAGTTCTTCTTTCCCTAACTTAAATCCTTAGCTACCTTTAAAATATCACACATTTGTATTTCAGACCTTTGTTGAGATGTTTTTCTTTTGACTTACAACTTTAAAGTTCTTCCACATAAAATAGTCTATTTTAAAAAATTTAAATTTTTGAAACATATTAAATCATTTGATAGATACTATTACCCTTAATGGGAAGGAAAGAAATAATACACACCTTTAATTTTCTTTAGTAAAGTGAATTTTAATGAGAACAATGGAAATGGGAATTGTGATTCTAGGTGTGACTCATATTTTGACACAGGTTTCTGACTTGAAGTCATTTAATCATATGTACTTTTAATTCATGTGGATTAGGGTTAAAATTCATTTCTTTAGCTTATTTTTAAGTAGTTATAAAAGTGAAGGTGAACTTTTATTTTTATTTAGATTGAAATTATTATTTTCCGTTATATTTTCAGACTTTTAAACTAAGCATGAAGTCCCTCTACTTTTCTATGTTCTCATCTTAGTTCTATGGGCATCAGAGCTGAATTGATTTGTAGAAAGTTCCTTAAGCAGACCGATATTATTCCTGCAAAGTAAATCCATATTAATATAGATAACGAGGTATGTAAAGAGATGGATTTAGTTCTCAGTATTATGCTTGAAGTGAGTCGACCTCGGAAAAATTGAACATGAATGCTTCACCTCAATGAGAATGGTTGTCTGCGCAGTATATACAATTTTTAGTCAGCTATGTAGGTCCATATCTATGACCCAGAAAATATATGTACCAGCTCATTTGCCTGATTCTTTGATATTCTGTGAACATGCTGAGCCAAAGATGAGGACATGTTCTATCCATAATAGTCCATTTGCAAATAAATGCACAGGCTTGTTATGGGAAACATCATTTGTTGCCTTGCTTGCTTTGGGAAGCACCATTTGTTGCCTTAGCAAACAACAAATGATGTTTCCTGCCTTTGAGTTTCCAGTTACATTACTGGAATAAGCCATTGGCACAATCAGAAATATGCTTTCGCTACTCTGTATTTTCTTTCTACAAGAATTTAGAGAATTCAAGGACAACAAATGATATGATTCCTCATTCAACAGCTCAGTAAAGCATGTCCTTAGCATATGCCTTTGAAACTGAAGAGATAAAATCGGGAAAATTAAATTTACTTGTATGAATTATTTCTTAAAATATATAAAAATAATTGGCAATCCAAGTATAATTTTTAAATACTGCCACTGAGACTACTACAACTATTCCCATTTCAGTATCTCTTGTTTTGATGAGCAGTAGGACAAGCTCTTCAGTTGATGATGTTTTTCCATACTAAAAAAAATGTGTATGTTTCCTTTGTCATGTTTGACATATATGATCCATTCTGCCAATAGTTTCAGCATCCTCGCCACTGTAAATGATCATTTCATTGGAGTAAGTAAAGGGAAATCACCAGACCTTGAAAGACAAACCTATTGAACAGTATTTTGATTAATATACTGATTTTCTATTGTAGAAATGAACAATGAATATTTGTTGTAGAAATAAGAATAAATGATTATATGCATTTTTCTGATTAGAATATAAAAGAATGTAATTAAAGGATTTACCAATATAACAAACAGACAAACATGGGTGCTATGGTTTGAATATGGGTTATCCCCACCAAAACTTTTGTTGAGGCTTGGTCTCCAATTGAGCAGTATTCAGAGGTGGTACTTTTGAGAGGTGATTAGGTCATTAAGATGCATCAATGACTTTCTGGTGAAACTAGGTTAGTTCTCAAGGGAAGGGTTTCGTTATCACAGGAGCAAATTAGTCAGCTAAATAAATCTCTTTCTTTTATAAATTACTCAATTGCAGATATTCTCTTACAGTGACAGAAAACAGCCTACCATACATCATAACGCAAGTCTGTTGAGGCTGGTGAAACAAAATCTGGTGACTATATCACATTAATTTTTGATGATGCTAATATTGGTGATGATAATGACAGTAAGCACACATAGCAATTTGCTATTTGGTAGGGATTCTTCTAAGCATTTATATATAAAGTAATTTAGTTACCAAAATTATCCTAAGAGGCAGGTACCATTATTGTTTCTATTTTGTGTTTGGAAAAAAAAGCTATAATGCATAGTTAACAACCAGCAGCAATGATGTTTTGAAAGGACCAGCTCTCACATCCAGCTCTTATTGTGTGCACCTCTATTTTGAAATCAATCTACTTCTAGACTTACTGTAAAACTCAGTCTTAGCTATGATGTCCATGGCTAGTAAAATTTAAACTTGGAATATGTTTAAATGTAAGGCTGTTGGTTGAGTAATTGCAGATTATCACCACCCAATGAGCACCTGTTGATTTGAATACCTACTGAATTGGCTGTGCTGAAGTATAACTGTGGCCTAAAGGTCTAGCCTTTTAAACTTCCTCCTTGTCGTTCTTAAGATACTCATCCTGATAAGCATAGTCCTCTGAAACGAATCCTACATTCAGTTTGTAACTCCTTCCAAGCAGCTCAGTTCTGGATCTGCTCTTTTAGACCCCCTTTTCTTTTCTGCAGGAAGAACAAAAGAGATTTTAGAGACAGTCCTTATGAAGAGCTGCTAGACAAGCGAACCATTTCCGCAGCACAGACTCAGACTTCGAGATTCCCTTTCCCGGGTATAATATATCAAGCCATGTCAACAACTAGAGAAAATGGATACTTCACAGTAAAAGCAAATTTTTAAAGACAATGAAAAGCTATAGAAGCAACAAAGACTAGAGGAAATGACACTCCAAAAGGAAAGAGCCTTTACTATGTGACCTGCGAGTTGATAGTTATTTTCTTTCCTGAGGGCATTTGCAGATTCAAGGTATGGGTCAAAGATGGGGTCTGGTCTAGGCAAACATAGACAAAACACTGGAACCTTTGGTGGTCCAGTGGGTTGTTGTGATGGAGAATAATCTAAAGGACTTGCAAACAAAAAGCCAGTTTCTCCCAGGAAGCATTTGCTGTGTTCTGGATTGGAAGGAGAGGATGAGGAACTCCAGCAGTAATTAGAAAACAACATCCTATTGAGGTGACCTGACACAAACATGCCCCAGGTTCCCTGTTAAGACTCCAGAAATTTGAAGCTGTGTGAGGTATTAGCCAAAAGAGCTAAATTCAAAATTCTGAAGGCATGACTTAATCTCCTGTAGTCTTTCAGAGTTCAGTGGACGAGAATCTACTTGCCTCTCAATCAAAGGTCTGGGAGGCCACGTCTGAGGAATGGGAATGAAGCAGACATGGATTGAGTTAAACTAAATCAATAAAAGCCCAAGCCAGGATCCATCCTTGGGATTGAGGTGTCTAAGTTCTGCATCTCTAACAGAGAAAAGTATAACCCTCTGGGGGAATGGCGGGATAGCATCATCTGGACTAATAATCAAGACAAATAAAAGCACACCCACAGATTATTCAGAAACTGGAATTAGCAGGCAAGGACATTATCCATTATCAATATTAATTAAATAAAATGGTACAGAAGATAGGCAAGATAGATGAAATCTTAAGAGTTTTGAAAGATATTTGAAATCTATAAAAATTAATATATGTCATTGATGAGAAACATGTTACCTACAATGAGATCCCTTGAAATTGTCTAAACTCTAATAACAAGATTGTGGGATATTGGAGAGATTGAGAAACTGGGAGAAAGGAGATCAATATCTGTGAAACACCCAATATGTGCTAGACATATGCCAAGAACATTACGTATGTCATATCCCTTAATTCTTCTATAAAGTAGTTATTATTATTCCTACTTTATAGATGAGAACTGTGCAGGAAGTGTTCAATATAACAAAGCAAGGGAACATACAAACTCCTATGTGATCATTTTCACATGTCCACAGCCTCCTAGCATGGGGCAAAGTTGTAAATGAACACATACCACTGAAGGCTCACACCATCATGAGCTTGCAGTAGCAATATCCTAGGAGCTACCTGAAAGCTTCTGGGTACACATAGCTAAACTACGATACTCCTTACCCACAGATTTTGGCATGCCCCTTAAGAAGGCTAGAGGTGTTTTCCAGGCGCAGTGGCTCATGCCTGCAATCCCAGCACTTTGGGAGGCCGAAGCAGGTGGATCACGAGGTCAGGAGATGGAGACGATCCTGATCAACATGGAACCCCATTTCTACTAAAATACAAAAAACTTAGCCAGGGAAGGCGGTGCGTGCCTGTAGTCCCAGCTACTTGGGAGGCTGAGGCAGGGCAGTCTCTTGAACCCAGGAAGCAGAGGTTGCTGTGAGCCGAGATTGCGCCACTGCACTCCAGCCTGGAGACAGAGTGAGACTCTGCCTCAAAAAAAAAAAAAAAAAAAAAAGACGAAGAAGAAGAAGGCTAGGAGTGTTTAATCAGGACTGGAAAATAACTAATTTTATTTTATGGTTTTACTTTTTTATGCTTATTAAGATGAATTGAATCATGAAGTATAAAATGAGCTACATGATTAGAACCACTCCAAGAGTTGAAGACTGTAAATCTTATTTTTAAGGACTTCCTGTGTAGTACCAGCTCTGTTATTGATGGTGGGTTTTGTACACATGCCTGATCTTTGAGTTGCTAAAAAATACCACTGGAAACTGCATTCCCAGGAACAATGGAATCCCTGGCGAAGTGTTTCCTCCCTGAAGAATGGTAAAATGTCAAACAGACAAAAGTAGGAAAAATTATGTCTCCAGACAGATGCATTGCCACTGTAACTTCAGAATGAACTATTTTGTACTGTACACAACGTCTGCTATCCATCAATTATTCTATAAAAATACCATTTTGATAAAGAAAAAATATCTTAATTATTCACTGATCTTTCCTATCCAGAATGACTAATGACAATAATAACAGAAAATCTGCCCATTCTGAGCACCTGCAAGGCAGGCACTTTACATACGTATCTCTTATTTCATCCTATTCCTATTCTCATTTTAGAGTTGAAAAGAAACAGGTTTATAAACAGAATGAAAAATTTTCTTGAAGAAACTCAGACATTAGTAGAAAAATCTGGATTTAAACCCAATTTTATCTGAGGCCAAAACCCTTCTTTTTTTACTCTGGGAGACTGCCTTGGCACTTATAGCACGTAATTATAATGATAATATTTGTTTACCTACACCTTTCTGCAAGTGCCAAAGTGCTGTACAAAAGCAGGCAACTGATTTCTCTCTATGCCCATGAGGTTAGTATGTGTATATTATAACTCGCAGGCAGGCGGCCACACAGACTGCACTGAAAGTGGACCTGTGTCTCAGGACTCTGTGTAAAAGCACTTCTTACTCTTGAGCACATTTCCAAAACAAATAAAATGGAAAGAACAGGAATACCAAAACTAGATGGCCTCCTAACCTTGGTTCTTATTTGATTTTTTGGCTTTATGCCTGGGCATATATTTTTTCATCTAGAAATCATTTCTCTAAAATATGTTCTTCATGGTATCTACTCCATCTCCTCTGCTCTACTCCAGTGTGTGCCGCAACCCCCATTCACACTACTCTCACCTGCCTGTAGAAGAAACACACAAAACACTGAGAATGAAACAAAAACCACTCGCCTTTTCTTGGATCCAGAAACAGTCAATACCAGCATTTTTGGCCTCTGCTTCCTAGTTCTGTCTGGCCTCTCCACCTCTAGCTCTGTCTTTGTTATGTCCACTTAGTGGGCTTTGCTTTCTTTTGTTTAAACACATTCAGTCACTCTGCCTGTATTGTTTTTGTGGCTTGCCGAACTTAAACCTGTCGCTGCTCTTCATTCCAGTCAAAAGGATGAAGAGGGAGCTTATAAAAGCAAAAACAGATCATTTACATTGAAGATAAGAAAACAGGCAGTATTTCTCTAGCAATTCTGGGAAGCAAGGTGCCAATTCTTTTGGATATAAGGTTCTCCCCAAAGGATTAAGGAATAGGAATCCTCCACAAAATCTTATTTGGTCCCCAAGTTATGAAGATTTTTATTTTCTTTTTTTCCTTCTTTCTTTTCTTCCTCCTCCTCCTCCTTTTTTTTTTTTTTTTTTTTTTTTTTTTTTGTGTGTGTGTGTGTGTGTGTGTGTGTGTGAGATGGTGGGATGGGGTTTCATTCTGCCACTTAGGGTAGAGTGCAGTGACATAATCATAGCTTACTGCAGCCTCAAACTCCTGGGCTCCAGCAATTCTCCCACCTCAGCCTCCTGAGTAGCTGGGACAACAGACATGCACTACCACCAGCTAATTTTTTATTTTTTATTTTTATTTTTGTAGAGAAAGCATCTTGCTATGTTGCACAGGTCCTAAACTGAGCAGAGATCAAAGATCTTTGCTATATTGCACAGGTCCAAGACAGGAGGAATGCTTGAGGTCTTAAACTCCTGGCTTCAAGCAATCCTCCTGTCTTGGCCTCCCAAAATGATGGGATTATAGGTGTGAGACACCATACCCAGCCAATATTGTTCTTTAGCTTAGACTTGAAGAGACACTATAGCCATGTGGAGTGGAATCAATCTAGGTGGAGACAATTCAGTAACACTGTGGTTTAGAAAGAAGAGGAGTGACATATTTCGAAAAGTATATTAAAAAAGGAAAAGCAAATGCTCTTTTTAGTTTACATTAGATTGAATTGGGAGAATTTCCTACCTGTGAAAAGCACTCAGTAATTAGTAGTTGTGAGTATGTATGTTTGGCCTTGGCAAAGATGCTCTTCCTTGGGTGGGAGCTAGAGGCATGCCAGGGAGCAATACATAAGGATTTCCTCATTGGTTAGTTCCCAATTATCCTGTGTTTTTGGTAAATAATCTACAGTAATGTCTCCCAAACTTTTCAGCCTGGGGCAAATCTAGAACATTCAGAGAAAGGATAAGAAAAGGAGAAAGGATCCACCTACCTCACAGCAACCTTTTCTCATTGTAAATATTTGCATGTATGGGCTCAACCACAATACCAGCCTCTCTTCCATGGTGCATATTATTGGTCACAGGCAGCCTTATGAATGTATCAGCTGTTGTATCTCTTCTTTCACTGTAATTAAAATACTAATGTGTTTCCTTATCAAAACTGGAAAGCTAAGATCTTTGGACAATGAGTACTGTTACTGAAAAACAAGGTAACTTGGGGAAAATATTTCACAAATATTTCATGATGGAAATGTATTGTTTCATGATTCTATAAGAATAGATGCAAATCTCATTATGGAAGCTAAGAAGAGAAAAATGTTTCCATGGCATACTAATTTAGATAATAATTAATAAGAATGTTGAGTTTTAATCTAATTTTTAATTTAATATATTAATCTATTGGTATAAAACTTGTGATAGCTGGTCTAAAAGTGAATATCTGGTCCTTGAATTTTCAGGTGTTTGGTTGTTTTTTTTTTTAGTTAATTTTTTTGACTTTTTCCTACTGGTATTTTTTTACTTAAATTTGAAATTTACGAATCTCTTGGTCCCCACAGAATTCGTTAACTCTATATCTAGAGTAAAATAGAGCCAATTTAGCAGTAGCAGTGTTTGGTGATTCTCATTTTGGGCACAAATGTCTAATCAACACCTGCAGTCTGGGTATACATTGGTTAGTTTACTCTGCATGCTGCTGAGGAGGGTAACCTAACGATGCTTCTGATAGACTAAACATTTGCAAATGATCCCTCCAGTGCCTAAGTTATCCATGCAGTATAAAGCAAGTAGGCCTGGTTTGAAGTACTTTGCCTTTCTTTATTTATTATGACAAATAGGTTGGTATTATTTAAACACACCAGCAGCTCATGTGTCTTTCATTTAAGATGCTACCTATTTATGTGATTGAGAGAAAAAGCAGCAGAATGGCACAACTTAAGTTAACTGGCACTTTCTATGCATTTTCAATGTGTTTTTTTTTACATAATGTGAATGATACTTTTCATTTATTTGAAGAATTTTATAAATTGCTTGTTAAAACATGGATTTATTTATTAATTTGGTATTTTAAAATAATAATAAATTATATAGTACAACAATAGTTTTTTATGCCATAAATAAGTAATGCATATTCATAGCTCTTAGTATTACATGTAAGAATCACTTGCAGTGTTAGATAACACATATTGGCTTAAACTATTAAAAATATATACATATTCTATCATAAAACAAAATATATTTCATATACTTTGTTCTGAAAAATGAGCTTCAGGATGTGAATAATTAACTCTGAAATTCAGTATATACTCCATAACCACACAAATTTATGTATATTCAGTTTCAAATACAGAGTAGATGCCAAATTGTTTTACCAGAAAAGTGAGCAGTGCATTTTTTTTCCAAGAGTAAAGGGCACGGTTCAAAATAAAATTTTTCTGACTGCAACTAGCATTTTTATTTTTCTTCCCAGTGATTGGAATCAGCTCTCCATGGAGCAACAGGAATTGTGTCTGCTCTTTGCAGATGGGGCTGGAGCAAGCTCAAAGACCAAGTTTCCGAGAGTCAGCCATAGACAAGCAAAAATAAACTGTCTAAACTTTAGATTCTAAATCCAGACTGGGTAATTCACTGTTTTATAGTAATTAATTTAGAAGAAATATAATTTCGTTGAAGTTAAGATTTTGCAGTGAGCCGGAAATTCTCCCCAGGATCTGAAGATAAGAGATGATGTGTTTGCATTGCAAGGTCAAAAAAGACTGTCTTTGCTGATGAGAGAAACTCAGCAGATACCTATAATTGATTACTATGCCTGCCTTATCAACGGCAAGTGCCTGCTGGAATCTGGGCACTTCTTAAACACAGGATTCAGAGTTGCTGTACCATGGCAGTTCTCAGTATTCATGGAGTAACTAACTAATTTTAGAGTCGTCACTTGAAGGAAGGGCAAGTGACATGGACAGCTCCCATGCAAAGTTCTAATCACATAGAAAGGTTACGTGCTATGTGATACCCACAGGCTGTCTGCCAGACCAGTGGCTTAGAAATTTGCCTATGCTGGCATATACTTTTTCCCACCCCTTTCCTTATCTACCATGCCTGCAACGAGGTCTTGACTATATCTAAACCCAGAAACAGTATTAAATTTGCTAGCAAACTTAGTTCAAGGATATAGGGGAAAAAAATCAATTAATGTTGAAAACACATTAAAAAAACAAACTACGTGAAAAGTGTGTCTAAGTCATTAATAGCTCACGGAATCTCAGTTTTGGTTGACTTAGTACAAGATGCATAAATACATGACAAGGGCATTGGAAATAAAGTTGTCAGAGGAATGTCTCTAGACTTCCGGGAGCCGCAGACGGTGGAAGCCTCCATCCAATCCAGGCGGGTGCATCATTTGTTTACATTTGCAAGCCTCTTCTGAGATTGGCCTGGATCTTCCAACAGCAAGATCCCATGTTGCTTCTCCTTTAAAACCCAGCTCAGGCATCCATCATCCCTCCTAGTAACTGTCTCTGGCCCCCCGGCTATAGTGTGAATATCCTTCCCATCATAAGCAGTATGCATCCGTATAGTTAGCCTTCATGTTAGAATTATTCTTGGAGAGTCTCTTTTCACTGCCACACCTCTCATGGACACCGGATTTGTCCTTGTGTTCTCAAAGCCTAGCACAGTATCTTTTCCTTAGCAGGCATTCACTAATGGGTATTGAGTGACCTGTCATCTCAGACATAGCCACTCTGGATCCCCTACTGGTTACTCACACAGATCTATTCAACTCTTTCCTTCAACCGTTTGGATGGGCTTTTGTACAACAAACCCCCATGACACAGGTTTACCTATGTAACAAACCTGCACATGTACCCTGAACTTAAAACAAAAGTTAAAAAACAAAGCAAAAAATAGGTGGTTTTGGCCAACCCCGATCATTCATGCTCAATGGACACCTATAGAGAGATAGGGACTTGAAAGTTTAATACTCATATTTATTTTTTCTACCTTTTTGTTGCTAAATTATTATTATACATATTATTTTTGTTATTGTCATTAGCTACTCAGTGGTTGCCTACATTTTTAACCCTATAATATCCTCATCCCCCAAATCTTCTTAAATTTGTTTCAGTAATAACAGCACTAAGTAGTTAGGGTTTCTTATGCATCTCTATATTGATATGATGATTTTTGACCTTCCCTATTTCCACAGGAAGGACACTAGCTTAACCGAGCTCATCAGGGAAACTTTCTGCAGTAAGAAAAATTTCACCACTCTGTCATCTATAGATCTCCTCTTACACAATTGTATGGCATAAAGATTATATCTTATTTTGGTCATTTTAAAAGTTGTATTTATAATCTATCCCATTGCAGAGAGACATTGATTTTTTAAAGAAAAAAATGTCTAAAGGTACAGAAAATTAGAATAATTACCAGTAAATGGTCCACACAAAGTGAAATATACCAAGGCAAACACGTATTTACTATATCCTCATACCTGTATTGTTTTTAATGTAGTTGTGGGTTGTGACCCAGTAGTGGGTTGTAAAATCAGTTCACTAAGTTAAAACCAGTATTTTTTAAAAATCATATTGAATGCAGCAGAAAATATCAGAGTTTATAACATATAGTAAGAATAAATATTACTTTCTAAAACTTTTTCCGTGTGTGTTTAAATGCATATGTGTAATGTACATTTTTATGGTGGATCATGATAAAATGAATATAAATGAAATGCAGCAATATAAGTGTATTCCTAATATGGAACTGGTGATTCACAGGGTGTGAGCCTACAGAGTTTCTTAGATAAGACCAAATTGTTTTCCAAATTTGTTTTTAAAAAATTAATGTATCCATGAGTGGTTTACAAGTTTCCATTATGCCACATCTTCAGCAGCAGTTGTTATGGAAGACTTTCAAATTTTTGTCTAATATGGTGAATAAAAAATGGCATGTCATGTGATTTTAACATACATAGCTCGACTACCAATGATGTTTGTCTAGTATTTAAGGGCATTATGGGTTCTTCTTTTGAGAAGTACCTTTTCATATTATTTCTCCATTTTCCTTTTTGAGTTTTTTTTTTTTTTTTGCTTTTGTAAGTCATATATATATATATTCTATGGTTATGTGTTTTTATATTAAGGTATATTTTTCCAAACTATAGATAAGCTTTTCACTTTATTTCTGCTACATTTTGTTTAACAGAGTTGTTAATTTTCATGTAGTCAGATTGGTCACTTCTTTCCTTTATTGGTTGGCGAATTTTGGTTTATATTGAAGAATTCTTTCCCTACCCTAAGTCATAAAGCCATCATTACACAGTTTCTCCTATTTTATTTTTGTAGTTTTTGCCATTTAGAGTTAAGTCTTCATTTCACCTGAAATTGATTTTGGTGTATGGTGTGAGGTAAGGATCCAGTTTCACGTTTTCTAAAGAGGTAGTCAATTGTCCAAGCATCTTTTATGAAACAATTTATCATTTCCTCTTTGATCCATAATCAGTAATCTCATGCCACTCCATACTTGTTAGTGTGTTTTGGGACTTTTGATCTAGTTTATTATTTTTGAACTCTTATCACATCATTTTAATTGCTATAATTTCCCTCGTTTTGAATAAGTCTTGATGTCTCATGTACACTTTGTTTTTCTTCAAAAATGTCTCAGATATTTTTGGGCCTTTGCTCTTCTATGAATTTTAAAGGAAGCTTACCAAGTTTCAAAAAAGGTTGCTAAAGACGTTTATTAAAGGAATCTCTAAATATTGTATATATTGTTGCTATTTTAAGTGTTATTTAAAAATTGTGTAATTTGTTTGCTGTTAGACTATAGAAACATATATTACTTTTATATTTGTATTTATTCCTATGCCCAGCCACTTTGTTATGCCTTCTTATCTGTGCTCATGTTTTGTCTAGCAGATATTTAAGTTTTAGGGGTTAACAATTATTCCATCAAACTCTATTTCTTTTTTTCTAATCCATATATTTATTTTTGCTTCTTGACTTATTGCCCTGAGTATAATATTTAGTGCAAGCAGCTTTATTGCAGCCTTGACTTTAATAAGAATGCATTTAAACATTTTACAATTAAATACAATATTTGCTGTAGGGTTTTTATAGATATCCTTTATCATCTTTAGTAGGGACTCTTCCACTTTTAGCTTTTTAAGCTGGTTTAATCATGAATAGATATTGAATCTTATTGACTATCTTCTGCATTTATTGACATAATCATATATTTTCCCACGTTTAATCTATTTATATGGAATATAATATATTTTCCATATGTAAATATATTAATATATTTTTATATTTCTGTCTTTCTGGGATAAAACTAACTTGAGCATGATGTATTTTTTATTGTTGTAATAGTTTTGTTAATATTTTTCATTTAAAATGTTTACATTTATATTCAAGAGTGAGATTGTAATTTTAAGTGAAATCATCATAAACATTGATACCTGTATTGAGCTCATATTTTTTGAAGTACCATTTTAAGTGTGCTTACACTGAATATTCATTTGTTTCAGAAACGTATCAGCATTTGTATAATAATACAGTTGTTAAAACATAGACAGCTTGATTTTGAATTCTTCACTTACTGATTCTACCACTTACTGATTCTATGTACTTTCTTTCTCTTAGCCTCAATTACCTTGTCTGAAATATGGACTTAATAATTGTGCCTACTTTATGGGAATATTTTATCATTCATATGAAGAGCTAACACAGTACTTGGAATATAGTTCACATTAAATAATGACTACTTCTGTTATTTTAATTTTATTAAAGAAAATTATATTTTAATCATGTCAACAAATATTTTTATTTATAACTTAAATTTGTTAAACTTTGCTGTTCCTAATCCTTAACGGATCTGTTATTTTAAAGGGGACATTTAGAGTATTACTACTTCTAAATTGCCATTCACAGAGATTTTCATTTTCCGCATTATGGAACAAAAGACAGTTGGGGTTTTTGTTTGTTAGTTTGTTTTTAATACTATTCATCCGAACTTCCAGTCCTCCCCTTGAGAATATAATGATATCACTTGCTGAGGTCAAGAAGAGGTGGAGCTGTCCACCAATAGAAGCTACATGGGGACAGCACGATAGAACTCTGAGGGGCCTTTGAAGAAAGTGTCACCCCTGTGAACAATAGTCCACCCAGTGCACATTGGATTTATCTAGCTTTCCTTCCTCAAAAAGGAAGGATATTCTGCAATCAACTATAGCAACTCTTTCCACTTTATAACACTTTCTTAACATTACTTAATTTAAAAACACTGTCCTTACAGAGAGGCTTACACTTTAGGTATACAGTAAAAGTATATACAGAGCAGTAGGATTAGAGAATGAAAGTTCGATAGCTAGACAGCATGGGTTCAAATCACAGTCTACTGCATTAGGTTAGTGATTGAACCGAGGCCTTAATTTTCTCTTCTGGACAGAGGATAATGGTTGTTGTTTAGAAGAATAAATGAAATAATGTGCTGAGAATGCTAATCTATAGCCAGCACTATGTGTGTTACTAAAATTATTATCTTTATGCTATACTAGAAAAGGCTGTCTTTGGTTTAACTTTTGGATATTACCTAACAATATGTTTTGAACATGCCTCAAATGCTCTACTTAATAGATATTTTTTCTTTAGTCAATTCAAATCTTTTGAAATGTTTTAATCCACATATTATTGTTTAGTCTTAGGAAAGATACATATTATGCCTAAAGATCAAATTATTGGGCCATTATATATAGCACTCTGATCTCCAAATGAAGCACTCTAAGCATTTTTAAATTTATTTTCCCTTATAATAATCACAACTTTTTTCAGAAAAGATGATTTTTATGTAATGATTATACCACAATTTTCTTTCGTAGAATCCATAAAATATCCCTAATATTTTCAATGTGATAAATACCTGCCAATTTAGAAATTTACACTCACAGTATCCAAATGAGTTATATTGTATCTTGCTAGAAGCAATGTATCTGTATCAGTGTCAAAATACTATGGACAACACAGTCATTATTCCAAGTCAAATTTTTATCCTTAAGCCCAAATATAAATATATTTTCAAATAAATGCACTGCTTCAATCCCCAGTAAATATATTTTTAGGGGAAATGAAAGTCAGTTCAATAATACCCATGGGCACCTAATACCCTTGCATAATCATTCTGACTTGGTTGAGAAGAGTTGTTGTATGGACATTACCTACCTTATAGGAATGCTGTGAGGATTAGAGAAATATCTGAAAAATGATTTGAGCTTCTTCAGGAAAGATGGTATTAATATGAGATGGTATTTTTATTTCAATGAGCAGGGGATTGAAAGAGGATTATTTCCTGAAGTGGAAGGGAGGCCTGGTGGTGAAGAAATCAAATGCTCCACCTTAAATAAGATGGATTACAGTGATATCCAAGGGACACTCAGCTGGTTCAAACCTTAGTTGCAAGAAAGAGGAAGCAGCCTCTAATCCTCCAGCCAGTCAGCCTTGGTTTGCCTAAATAGATCCATTCTAGAGGAAAGTAGGTAGCGATGGAAAATGTTTGGGGTCAAGACAGTCGATAGCTATTGAGCTCATATAGTTTATTCTCTCCATGTCACTCCAGATGTGATGCATTATAATTTATGTAAAACTGGGAGGGAAGAGCACAGTAAACCATATGATTAAGCTAGATATGTTTAAAGCAAATGTCAACAGGTAGGAACTATGCATCTGCACTACCACATCTCTGGATATAGGTACACAGACAATTAATCTGGGCGTAAAAACCCAACAGAAACTGGTTGATTTTAGAGCAAATCTAGTCCCCCATCCCCTCCACCATCATGAAGTTACACAAATCAGCACTGCTTGGTTCTTATTCTGGGTAGTTAAGCATATAATAAAAGAGTAGACTTCTACCTTCTTAATTGATTTTTTATTTGTTTGTTGTATTAGTCAGAGTTCTCCAATGAAACCAAACAAATAGGATATATATATATACACACACACACACATACATATATATACATATACATATATATATTATATATGTGTCTGTGTGTGTGTGTATATATATATATATACACACACACACACACACACACATATACACACACACACACACACGGCCAGGGGGAGACACAGAGAGATAGAGATTGATTTGAGAGATTTATTATGGGAATAGGTTCCATGTGATTATGGGGTCTGAGAAGTCCCACCATACGCCATCTGCAAACTGAAGAACAAGGGAAGCCAGTGGTGTAATTTAGTTCGGGGTTGGGAACTGGGGTAGGGGGTCAAAAGGCCCAAGAATTGGGAACTCTGATGTCCCAAGACAAGAGAGACGAACGACCCTGCTCAAGGAGAGAGAGAGCTCATGCCTGTAATCCCAGCACTTTGGGAGGCCAAGGCAGGTGGATCACTTGAGGTCAGGAGTTCGAGACTAGCCTGGCCAACATGGTGAAACCCCGTCTCTACTAAAAATACAAAAATTAGCTGAGTATGGTAGCTGGCACCTGTAATCCCAGCTACTTGGGAGGCTGAGGTATGAGGATCGCTTGAACCTGGGAGGTGGAGGTTGCAGTGAGCCAAGACCATTGCACTCCAGCCTGGGCAACAAGAGCAAAGCTCAATCTCAAAAAAAAAAAAAAAAAAAAAAAAAAAAAAAAAAACGGGGAAGAGAGAGAAAGAATTTTACTTCCTCAGCCTTTTTGTTCTGTTTAGACCCTCCACGGATGGGGCCATGCCCATCACATTGGTGAGGGGGAGTTTTCTTTACTCCTCTACTGATTCAAAGGCTAACCTCTTCCAGAAACGCCCTCACAGAGCACCTATGTGGGCATCCAGCAGCCCAGTCAGTGTGACACATAAGATTCACTGTCACAGTTGTTTTTCTCAGCAATCACAATCCTTGTCATTTCATCGCTTTATTATATTTAATCATTGTTGGTTTTGCTGCAGAATATATTGTGATTTTTAATATCACTACTACAAAAGACACAGAATATAGTCATGTGGATGATATTTATTCATAATTCATGATTCAAAGTGCAGTCTATATTGGAAAGTGAAGTAAAACCAATCTAGTTTGCATCAGGTACAACTATGAGATGGCTCTTAAAAAAATAATTGAAAATTGATGTTAGCAGTTAATAGCAGACAAACTCCCAAAATCTTTATTCAGTGAAAGATGAGAATTGTAAAACCTTCAGAAAAATCTGAACTTCCTAAAATTGAATGGGGGAAATACTATAGGTAAGGCATAAGTTAGAAAGCTTTGGCTCTGTGGAAGATTCAGAGCTGGCTGTGTGATGTTGGAAATTCACTTAAACTGTCTGAACTTCTGTCATTGTCTTAGGGTGAGACCTGAACCCCAGTATTTTTTTTTTAAATATCCATAGTCAATTCCAATATGTAGGCAGGGAGAATAACCAGGATCGGTACAGGCCAGTCCTTCTCAAATTTCAATGTGAGTACAAAGCACTTGGGAATCTTGCTGGGCTGGTGCCTGAGATTTTCTGTGTGTAACGAGATCCCGGGTACTGCTGCTGCCACTGGCCTGTGGCCCACACTTTGAGTAGCAAAGACACAGGTGATAGTTTGGAGGGTGGCTAACGCTTATAGGCGAAAGCTATTCATTCATTCAGGCTACTCTTCATCTTCAGTACACTCCTTACCTGGAATCCAGCATCTCTCTCTTCTAGAAAGATCAGAGCTATTTCTAGTGGAGCCAGCTGTTCTATTTTAGGTTTCCACCAGAAAGACTCAGGAATAATAAATTTGCACACCTTTGGTTGGTATCTGTTGTGAGCATTTACGAAAAAAAAATGTAAGGAGTTGCCATAAATCTATTATATTTCTATTTCTAAAATATCACCGTATAAATTTTTTTAAGCAACACATTCTCACAGTTTTCTCCTCAGGTACTTAACACTTAATATCAAATCAAAATGTACTGTTACACTTCATCTTTCCCTTGAAGTTTAAAACATTCCTGTAGCACAAAAGCATTAACAAAAGGATGGATTCTAATGTATTTCCAATGGAATATTAAAATTAGTCATTTGTTTCCTTTCTTAATGACTTCTGTAAGTATGTATTATTTATAGAAAATTTGTAAGATGTTAGATAAGTGAAATTCTATCTTATTATGATGAATCGTTGATTAAACCTCCACATTATTTTTACAGGAAGTCAAAGCAAATAAATGTAGCACAATTTTCTCTATTTCTACTCTATTTTTCTTTACAATTGAACGAGTAAGTTTAAAAGCACATGCCAGAATTGCCCCCAAAATATGTTGTAATTCCATTTCAATGTGACAGTGTATTTCAGAAGAAACAGTTTCTCAGGTGATCTGGGATAGGTTACAATGTTAATCTCACAGCTGTCTCTGTAACTCTCAGTACTCATAAATCATGTGGTCTGTAATAAGAGAAGTAAGTTTGAGAGGTTAGAAATCTTAAGAAAATTGTGACGGGGTGATAGATGATATGAAATGACTACATTCTAAAGATGTTATATAAAGGGGAATGTGTTGCATTTGAGATAAGTGCCTCCTGGATTTTTTTTTAGGCAGAAGAATATTAGCAATGGAATACATGGCATTCTTCAGCAACATTACTTGATAAATTTTAAGCATTTCTATATCAAAGAGTTTTATACATAATCAAGCTTCATCTGCATTTTCAGGAAGTCTTACTGGCCATTCTGATTATTTTGGAGGTTTCTGAAGATATCTTGTGTTCTTAAGTGTACCTTGTGGAGTTGTTGAAAATATTCAGTTTCTTTTCTAAGTCTAAATTCATTAAACAATCTGAAAAGCATTTCACATACAGTGTAGGAAACAGAAACCGTGAAAAAATAACCATGGGACTAGACTCTTTTTTATTCCTGTGCTGGACTGTGAGGGCATTAGAATTTATCACAGTGAGCAAATAAACTTTGAATACCATTATCTAAAAACAAAGAAGTTGAGGTCTTTATAAATGCTTGTAGACAGAGCACTGTAGCATTATTTCAGTTTTTGCACTATTTCAACTTTTGCATTATTTTAATTTTTTAAATGGCTAATTTAAATTTAAGTAGAAAATAGTCTAATTCTTTAAATAATATGTAATAATTTTGACTCGGTTAATAGCCCAGCACTTTTCCACATCACTATGAAGAGAATATCTTTTTACTCTCGGTATTGTATCTCCATTTCCTCTGAACAACCTGTAGATAGATAAGGAGAGTAAGCATAGAACTAGGAAAGAATTCTCTGAGGAATTCATGTTATGAATATATTTTTATTTATGCTCAATATTTTACTTTATGATATAATAAAGCACTTGTATATTGCTAATGGTTTAATCAATCTTTATGTTCTTTTGAAATGCCTGCATATATCAGTAACATTTACCAGTGATTTTTAAAAAATTCATATCACTCTGAGTTGTCAAACCTAAGTTCTATAACAAATATACATGCTTAAAACATATTGTATTCAGAATGACCTTTTCTCATTTTGCTTGAATCCTTAAAATAATTGTTTTTGATTGCTATTAAAAATATATAAGCACACTGTCTTTCCATAACAGGAAACATATATCAAATTCTATATATTTTTATGATCGTGATGTATTTGAATGTATGTACTAAGCGATTATGCTCTAATGATTGGCTGCTTTTTACTTTTCAAATAATATTTTAAATTTTTTGAATACACTTAGATTTATAGAAAAGTTGCAAAGATAATACAGAAAATTCCCATAGACCCCATACCGAGTTTCCCCTATTATTGGCATTTTTCATTAGCGTGGTTCATTGGTCACATTAATGCCCAATTCATTCAGACTTTTCTGGTTTTTAATCTAATGCCCTGTTTCTGTCCCAAGGCATTAGGTTAAAACCCAGAAAAGTCTGAATAAAGTATGGACTGTAGTTAAAAATAATGTAAGATCTTGGGCATCCTGCCCATCCACGATACCACGCATGACAGCTAGTTGTCAGGTCTCCTCAGGCGCCTCTTGGCTCTGAGTTTCTCAGACTTTCCTTGTTTTGATGACCTTCACAGCTTTGAAGAGTATCAGTCAGGTATTTTGCAGAATGTCCTTCAGGAGGGATTTGTCTGATGTTTTCCTCATGATTAGACTGGGGTTATGAGTTTGTGTGAAGAAGATCACAGAGATAAAGTGCCGCTCTCATCACATCATATCAAGGGTATATACTATCAGCATGACTTATCACCATTGACGTTAACCTTGATCATCTGACTTCAGGTAGCGTTTGTCAGGCTTTTCCACCGCAAAGTTAAAGAAAATCTCTATGCACAGCCCTCACTTAAGGAGTGGGGCGTTATTCTCCACCTCCTTGAGGGGCAGACTAACTACATAAATTACTTGCCATTCTACACAGGAGATTTGTCAATTTCCCCCATTTATTATTTATTCAATCATTTATTAAGACCAGTTTGTACTAATGGACACATATTTTATACTTTGGGTTGTAATCCAATGCTACCTTATTTATTTTGTTGCTCAAGTTGTTCTAACTTTGGGCCTTAGGGGCTCTTTCAGGAGGCTCTTGTGTCCCTTTGACGTACTTGATTGAGCTACTTTTAAGCACAGAATAGAAATAATGTGTATCTGCAGATTTTGAGACATTTGGATCTCCTAATATTTGGAAGCTAATTTTCCTAAGAAAGTGAATGGCACAGTGAAAAAACCATCCAGTTTGTTATGTTATTGGGCACGATGCTAGTGATCTGATCTTGAGGAAATTATTTAACTCTTGTGAGTCCCAGTTTCTTTGTTAAGGTGAGAATACTTTTAATCTGAACTACATAAATTGCCAATATTCTACAACTTCCGACCTACAAAGCAATAACCTCACACAGTCCCAACTTAGATGTACCCAGTGCATGGGACTGTTGTAAAGAAGAAATGAAACCTCACATGCAAAGTCCTTCCTGTTTATACAGCTATTAATGTTCTTTACAGCTACCCTACCTATTAGAAAAGGCCAAGTTAGGCCTTGACCATTGACCTCAATAACCCATACCAGAGATAAACTGCTCTTAGTCACTCCAGGCCCCAGAAGAGGCTAGGAAATCTAAAACACTAGAACCCACGTTTCTGCTCAAATGTCTAAATCAGAAGATTTGGGTAATAAATTATTTGATATTGGGTCTTATTTTTAACTCTCTTCCAAATCCAAATCTTTCAAAAAATAAAATCCCATGAACTGATATTGCATCAGATACTGAAAATAAACTGATACTACTTTCCTTAATACATTGAAAGTTCCCATTCTTAAGTCGAAAACAAGCCACTGATATAATTATATTCCCTCAATATAATGAGATACATTAGATGAAGTGACCCCAACCCATTATACTGAATGGAGGTTCTTTAAATGCTGCAAAGCACCTGGTTGCCCAACTCAAGTGGAACAAGTGAGATTACTTCCCTGCTTCAAATTAGATGTGCTTTTTCCAGCATTTCAAAGTTTATATTCTATGGCAATGACCAAAAATGTATTATATTCTTTATGAGATCATAGGATGGAAGACATTTTATACTTTGCATTTATTTATGGCATGAAGATCTGGGTCTCAAACTATAGGGTTTTCCCCCTTTTAGTAGTGTTAAGGCTTTCAAAGAAATTTTAAACAATGTATAGATCGTATGATTTATTTTATGACATAAATCAGAATAATTGGCCATCATAAGAAAGAGATAGACTTTTGTGGGTATTGTGTATCCATGGTGTATATATTTTTTATCTTAGACTGGAATGGATCTTGTAAAAGAAAGTCTGGCCTGAATATTAAAAGCTAAGTCTTGATCTTGCCTGTGACAATGTTTTTTTCCCAGTCGTTAAAGCTTTTTATTCCTATCTTCTCCCCTCCACCTTGTGTTGACCTTCTGAAAAGGTTGGATATAAGAAGATGCAAAACAAATGAGCATATTATTTTTAATAAAAGAAGAATTTGCTTATGAATATTAAAATATGTATTTTTACAGAATGCAGCATTAACCAGTATCGAAAAATAATTTAAGAAATGGTAAAAAAAAATTTTTAAAGTCTCATGTATGCTTTATGGCCATCTCTCACCCCACCTGCCTTGCAGATGTGGCAGCTAACTGTGTGGCTTTGTTCTATTGACAGGAGATCAATAGGTGTTCCAAATATCCCCTGCCCCTGCAATTTCCACTGAAATTTTGCTATTAGAGAATCAATCTTCAGGATGAGAGTATCGTGTTTCTATGAATCCCTATTAAATTGCAATTACACCTAGAGTGTTAACTTGTTGAGCTGTAGTCACTTTTACTATCATCAGCCAAGGTGTTAATCTTAGCAGGTTTATTTTATTTCCTTCCAAGTCTCATAGCAGAAAGCAGATCCTCATCACCCTATTCGCCCTTTGGCCATCACTGTGTCACTTTTCTTCTATTCACAAGCTAAGTTTCTAGTGTGTGTAATTAGCATACAGTGTCTCCAAATTTCTCTCCTCCTATTAGCTTCTCGGTGTCTTTCCTTTTAGCTTCTGTGAAGCCAAAAAGTTATTTCCCCAGGATGACTTCCTATTGCTTTGTCCAGTAGCATATTTTCAGTTCACATCCTACATAAAATCTTCTGGGCGGCTTGGTTTTTTTCTTGAAATCCTTTCCTCTCTTTGCTTCGCGAAATCTCTCTCTACCTATTTCTCTGTCTTCATTATTGAATTGTCCTCAGTTTTTGTTATAGTTAATTTTATGCATCAACTTGGTTGGGCCATAGTACTCGGTGTTTGCTGAAACATGCTTCTAGATGTTTCTAAGAAGGTTTTTCTAAAAAATAATGCAAAAGCAAATTACTGACAATAATGTGGGTGGGCCTCATCCAATCAGTTAAAACCCCTAGTCGAAAAAGGCCTCATCTCTCCCGAGGGGAAGAGAATTCTTCCAGGAGACTGCATTTGGACTCCAAAAGCAACTCTTCTCTGGGTCTGCAGCTAGACTACTCTGTAGATTTTGGACTAGCCAGCCTTCAAAAATCACATGATCTAATTCCTTAAAGTAAACCCCTCTCTCTCTCTCTCTCTCTCTCTGTGTGTGTGTGTGTGTGTGTGTGTGTCTGTATGCATGTATAGATACATGTATATATACAGTTATGTGCCACATCATGATTTTTTAGTCAATGACAGACTACATAGATGTTAGTGGTCCCATAAAATGATAATAAAGCTGAGAAGCTCCTATTGCCTAGTGATGTCGTAAGCATCTTAACAGGGTAGGGCAACACACTCCTTACATGTTTGTGGTGATGCTTCTATAAACAAACCTACTTCACTGCCAGTCATATAGAAGTATACCACATACAATTATGTACACTAAGTAATACTTGATCATGATAATAATGGACTATGTTACTGGTTTACGTATTTACTATACTTTACTTTTTATGGTTATTTTAGAGTATACTCTTTCTGCTTATTAAAAACATAGTAAACTGTAAACCAGCCTCAGGTAGGCCCTTTGGGAGGTATCTAGAAGGCGGCATTGGTACCCGAGGAGATGACAGCTCCATGCTTCTTGTTGCTCTGAAAACCTTCTAGAGGGACAAGATGTGGAGGTGGAAGAGAGTGGTATTGATGATCGTGGCCCTGTCTAGGACTAGGCTAATGTGTGTGTTTGTGTCTTCATTTTTAACAAAGAAATTTTAAAAGTAAAAAAAATGTAAAAAATTTTAATAATAAAAAAACTTATAGAATAAGTATATACAGAAATAGGGCTGGGCACAGTGGCTCGCGCTTATAATCCCAAAAGTTTGGGAGGCTAAGGTAGGAGGATTGTGTGAGGCCAGGAGTTCAAGACCAGCCTGGGCAACGTAATGAGATCCTGTCTCTACAAAATAAAATTGTTTAAGTATCTGAATGTGGTGGTGCACACAGAGAGTAGTCCCAGCTACTTGGGAGACTGAGGCAGGAAGATCCCTTGAGCCCAGGAATTTAAGGCTGCAGTGAGCTGTGATTGTGCCATTGTACTCTAACCTCAGTGACAGAGCGAGACCTCAGTCTCAAACAAAAAAAAAAAAGGAAAAGAAAAGAATAAAAATTATTTTTTGTACAGCCATACAATGCGTTGTGTCAAAAAGTCAAAAAATTTTAAAAAATAAAGTGTATAAAGTAAAAAAGTTACAGTAAGTTAAGATTAATTTATTATTGAAGAAACAAAATTTTTGTTATAGATTCAGTGTAGCCTAAGTGTACAGTGTTTCTAAAGTCTACAGTAATATACAGTAATGCCCTAGGCCATTCACCGAATTCATTGACCACTCACTCGCTAACTCAGCCAGAGCAGCTTCCAGTCCTGCAACTCCATTAAGGGTAAATGCCTATAAAGGTACTGTAAAATTTGTTATATTTTATGCTGTATTTTTACTGTATCTTTTCTATATTTAGATACACAAGCACTTACTATTGTGCTACAATTGCCTATAGGATTCAGTAGAGTCACATGCTATACAGGCTTTTAGCCTAGGAGCAATAGAGCCTACCATATAGCCTAGGTGTATAGTAGGCTATACCATCTAGGTTCATGTAACTACATTCTGAGATGCTCCCACGACAAAATCACCTAAGGACTTATTTCTCAAAATGTATCCCTATCGTTAAGGGACACATGAAAGTATGTGTCTGTGTATATACAGCCTGTTGGATCTGTTTCTCTGGGGAACCCTAACTTGTACAGTTATGTTTACCAAATCCCTCTTCTTTGACCATCCCTTAAATAAGTCAGCCTCCTAGCCTCTGTCTTTTGCTCTCTGACTCCGATCATCTCACTGTACATAAATGCACTGGCAGAATTTCAGTCTTTTCCAAGCACAAGTTACCAGCCCAGAATTCAAACTTGGAATTCTAAAGTCGTATTCCCAGTCTCCCACCTGACAGCACCACGGAGCTATCCCACAGGAAGTGTGAAGTCCGTGTGTACAGGAACCGACTTATCCTTCTCCTTCTCAGCTTATACGCTTTCATAAAAAACGTCATCTCTATTAACAAAGAAATGATCAACCTAGACCAGAAATCGGATGAAGCCTCGGATCCTCTGAATATCTGACCTTTCCCAAGGCTTCGCATCCACTCCCACACTGTATGCCTTCCCCTGGCACTGCAAACCAGTCCCCCAGTACTCTTGCAGGTGTGCTGAAACTCTATTCCTTTTCCTCAATGTTCACCTTAGAGCCTTATTTCAAGCTCTCACTGCACATGAACTAAATCAAAATACAATCTCAAGCTTGTCTTCCCATCAGATCTTATCTTCTTACTTCCGCTATGCTTAAAATTTGGAATGACTTCCAATTCACTGAATTTGCCTTATTCTTTTATGCTACTGTAACCTTATACATATTCTTCATTGTTCCTAGAATTCCTTTCTCCACTCTGTTAGAAAATGACTTACCATTCTTTAAGATGCTGCTTAAATAACACTTCTTTTAGGAAGCCCTGATATATCCACCTTTCCAATTCTTCAACTGATGACTCTGCATTTAATGTTATTACTGTACCCTTCTGCCTAAATCTAATGTTGCTATGATTTCTACTTTAAAAGTTTTCTGTCTTTATCTCTAGTGCCCTGTGAGAGCTTTAAGAAGAGAAATTGAGTTTTATTCATCACTTTATCCCTATGTTTAAGAGGCAAGATATCCACAGGAAGTAGCAGCAAAAATTTGAGTGCATGAGTGAACCTGGAAGAAAAAATTAAAAAATTATATGAGAAGTTTAACCCTACAATAACTAAGTGGATTTGAAACTATTTTCATGTGTTTTGTAAACTGCGTTCCCTGACCAGAATTCAGTAATATTAGAAATTTATTTTTATAAAAAGAAAAGAAAAAGCCTTAAAAGTTAGAGATTTTAAAATCCTTCCTGAATTTTTGGATTAAGAAAAGCCAGAATTACAATTAAACTACTTATAAAATAGACCAAAAAAGCAAGATATCCAATATACCCTGTGTGAGCTAACAGCACACATGAGTGTGTACGCAAGTATGCGTATATGTGGGTGTCTAAGCAGGAGGCACAAATCTAGTTCAGCTGTTTATATGGTTTGGCTGTGTCCCCACCCAAATCTCATCTTGAATTGTAGTTCCCACGATCCCCACACGTCATGGGAAGGACCAGGTAGAGAAAATTGAATCACGGAGGTGGTTTCCGCCATCCTATTCTCATAGTGAGGGTGTTCTCAGGAGATCTGATGGTTTTACAAGGGGCTTCCCCGTTCTCTGGGCACTCATTCATCTCCTTCCTGCCATGATGTGAAGAAGGACATGTTTGCTTCCCGTTCTGCCATGACTGTAAGTTTTCTGAGGCCTCCCCAGCCCTGTGGAGCTGTGAGTCAATTAAAAGTCTTTCCTTTATAAATTACACCATCTTGGGTATGTCTTTATTAGAATCATGAGAACAAACTAATACAGCTGTACAAGGATAAATATGATTTTTTTCCATGTCACTACATTTTGTGCGGCTATTCTGTTACTTTGCAACTTAACATAATCAAAGCCAATTCAGAATGTTTTTAATAAATTCAAGATCTCTCCCTACAACTACCCCTCCTTAACCCTGGGATTGCATGTAAGTGTTGGAGGAAGGATTGTATTATTGTCCTCCTCAACAATACTGTGATTGTCATAATAGCTAACATGATGCACTTTGTTTAAAAGTGCCTGATGTGTATTAATTCATTTAATCGCCATAAGTGCCCAAAACAGGAAGCACTGTTATTATTGCCATTTTAGAGATGAAAAAGCAGAGCACAGAAGTTAAGCAGTTTCCGAAAGTTCAAACAGCTAGTCAATTGTGAAGCAGGCATTTTGATCCAGAGCCAATGCTTTTAGTTGCAAGACAGGGAGGACAAGTCATCTTATCCTGGGCTGTACTCATGGGCACACGCTGGCCACCCCCATTTCTTCGTGTGTGTTTCAGTATTGGCTCTATATTCACCATACCAATAAAGGATGCTTGTTTAATTGTTTAGTTCTAAACAGGCAGTTAACTTCTCTGGACTCAAATTTCAAACTGTGCTTCTTTATTCAGTCTGGTCCCCTGTGAATCTTCCCTGTGCTTGTACTTGTAGAGTTTGGTGATCATTCAAGCATTTGGGCAGTTTACCTTCAAATTTTGTGATTCACACTCTCAGTGGATTCCTTGCGTTTGGAAAATCCTCCTAAGTTTCCACTTCTCCAACTTCCAACTCTGTCTTCTGACACCTCAGTCCAAGAAACCTGGTTTTCTGCCACCTGAGCTGTGCACGGATTAGGGAATGCCTTTCATTTAAAAAGCAGCAAACTCACAAAATTTCTCCCAGTGAAACAAAGTATTTCAGAGAAAAATGTCTCTCTGGTGTCAATCTGCCTCCTGCAACCCTCACCAAGCCCCCCAGGTCTTCCCTGCAAACATGGCATTTAGGGGGCTGCCTGGAGTTTGGGCAGAGTTTATAATTCAGGTTTAGGGATCTGTTCTTTTTTTTTCTCACACTTCTAGAATCTCCCTCTTAAACTTCCAACTTCTTTTCCAACACTACATTCTCTCTGTCATCTGTAACCAAATAAGAAAGCCTACATTTAGGAAGCAAGCTTGGTCAAGAAAACTAGAAACTCACAATCCTTACCCTTTCCGTAACAGCTTTTCAAGGGGGAGAAAAGCTTCATTGACTTCAGCCTGGCTTTAGATACTTTTCAGCTACTTTTCCATTCCTGAACTCTCTTTGCCATGATCTCAAGCCAAGAGAGTAAGCCTGTATGTGGTTTTCTACCCAATAATCCTGGGGATTGGAAGTGTGCTTTGGCAAGAACAGTTTAAAGTCTCAATTCTTACCTCTTCCTGTTGCAGTTTTTCAACAATCCATCCACTTCGGCATGCTTTCCAGGACCCTTCAATCGCAGTTGAAATGTTATCCAAATTTCCTAGTGTGATATGTGAAAGGGTTTGCCTCACCACTTTACTCTCTGCCATTACTGGAAGTTCCCCAAGTGTATTTTTATATTAATTAAAGTTATGATCAGCAAAATAATATAATAATTATGAACTACTATGTTTTTGAAGTGAGGAAGTATGAAGACTTTGTTATTTTACCTTATTTTATCTTCAGAGGGGCTCTCTTTCCTCCGGCCAAACACCAAGAGGTGGAATCCAGGTGTGTATTTACAGTACAACCATATGCCTTATAGTTAGGGTGAATATAGTTCCCATTTTGCCAGGACAGTCTTCATACATGCCTGTTAGCCTAGTATGTCCTGACATAATTATTAATAGCTTACCTTTTCACTCTCAGAAAATTCTTTCTAAACTTTATAGTTTATAAAATGCATAAACTTTATGAGGAGGGGGGTCATGTTCGATTAGGGTCCAGGCCTTAATGACCTCATTTTAACTTTATCACCTCATTAAATACACTATTGCCAAGTATGGTTACGTTCTTAGGTTCTGGGGGTTAGAACTTCAACAAAGGAAATTGGAGGGGACACAGTTCCATCCAGAATGGTCATAAATAGCACTGCTATGAGTAGCGTCACAGATACTATTAATATCAGAGTGGTAATATTGGCAAACACGTCAGTGTTGATGAAAAGTAGCATTTGGTTTAATTCCCAATCATTGAGAGCCTTCTAGATGCCAGGTGTTGTTAGCAGCCTCCCTTAACAGTAAACTTTTTCTGCATTTGTCAAGTTGATGCAAACCATGCTTGGCACACAGCAGTCTTGACCTTGTAATTCACACCACACTCTTCCTTTTGCCAACTCAGCTTTCACTTTCTTGATCCCAGTGTTCATGGATGTGATCTGTAAATGAACAGCATCCCAAACCACCTGGAAGGCTCAGTAAAAATGCAGCATCCACACCAGACCAGATAACTAAAAGTGATGCAGGGCAAAGCCTGGGAATCCTCATTTTTAAAAGTCTCCAAAAGATTGTTATGGCTCACTATAATTTGAGGATAATTGAATCTCCCACGGTGTCTGTGGATGCCTCTTGCACTGCACTTGAGGAAAAGGACAGCAAATGACTTCAGGCAAAGTGAAAGAGTCACTAAGAGTCTCCCTTCAGAGGCTGCAAGGGCAGTTTCTGTGGATATTTGCAATCTGCAGCTCAAGTTACAGAAGAAATTTAACTTTCAGTTTACTCACTAAAGAGAGAGCTTGGGTTAGCCCCTAAGGGAAGCAGTATTTATTCTAACAAGTTGCATGCTATTTGAAGAAGATTTTGTCTTACAGGGAAAAATTTACATGCTAAAAATATCTAAATAAACATTTTTAAAGGCAAATTTTCTTAAACACAATTTCTTTGGAACCTAGAAGATGATAAAAATTTTTCATTTACACATCTCGACTTTGAATAAATATTTGTAAACCTACTTAAATAACTAGGGCACTAGTGAAATGAGATTACTTTCCTGTAACAAGATAAGGAAAATGCAATAATAACCTCAATTTAATGGCTGACTTTTAAAATGTTAGCATTTTTCCTTAAGTGAAATTGACCTTGTCACAAGGTATGCCACAAAACTCTCTTCTTGCTAGGATGAAATATTGCTGCAAGATTATTAACATTTATGTGGAAAGGTAAATGTTCTAAGGCCAGCGACTCTATGATGCATGCATGAAATTGTGGTTTGATGTATATTACGGAGATTCAATAATTATTACTGGATTAGGTCAATAAATTTGGAAAGATGGGAAAGGATTACAGAATGAGAGTACTTTATGTTTTAAGAAATTGATCGAATGCCCTCTTTGACTAATTTCATCCATGACAACCAAATTTGGCCCAGAGTTCCACATGCACAGTTCCCACTGACATCCATAGAATTTGTGCATGAGTTACAGAGCTTAGAATGAAGCCCTAAGGAAATAACTAAAGATTTTTGGTGAGATATACTTGTGTGATTAAATAAAACCATTTTTATGGGCTTTGTTTTCTTGTTTTCAGGCCCTTCCTTATGAGGATAAATAGCCGAAGCACATTGAGGTTAATATTGCTTTTAAGCTATTTGTCTCCATTTGGGAACTAAATGCAAAGAAAAAATGAATGTTTTACCTCTAAGAAGCTTTCTTCAGTTAAATGTTTCCACTAAATTCAGAGTCCAGCCAACCTTGCCACTTTCCTGGGAATAGGCATAAATCACGTCTAAAAATTTTAGAAAACAGTGGGAAAACTTATCTAGTAGAAAGAGAATTAGCTATGCAGTTATTTGTTCCATTCTTGTACCACAGTGAATGTAGTGAAACCTGCTTCACTCCATAAAAATAAAGAACATATAACTTAATTTGAAAACCAAAAAATTAAATGACATGCACCTCAGAAAAGTACAAATTAAAGATGTAAGTTTTGAAATCCAGTCTTATTTGAAATTTTAGAAACAATCCAGAAACAACAAATTGAAGTAACATTTAGCTAATATAACTGATTCCAACTTATTTTTCATGAATGCACTAAAATCCTCAGTTTGTAGGTAATAGACTGTATGAAACTAAAGAGTATGAGCTAGGCACAATACTTTACATGTGTAATCCCAACGTTTCCCAATATTGCAGATGAGGAATTCAAATATATTCAAGTTAAGAAATTTATTAGTAAGACCCAGGATTCAAGATCTGGTTATTTGCTCTATTTAATATACAAAGACACTTCAAAATCAAATGAAAAAAATTCAATTCAGAGAAACAATTTACAAAATTCAATTTCAGGTGGATTCAAATTTCAAAATGAATCTTATGGAAGCAAGTGTAAATAAATGTGAATATTTGCCAGTTCTCTGTAGGGGTGATGAATACATCTTCTCTGAAGAATTACAAAAAATTAGAAGGAAATATACAAATATAAAATGTCACAAAAACAATAGATTTCTCAAATATACATAAAAACAGATGAGAAGAAATTGATGTGGTATCATGGTTTACTTTTCACAGTACATTCATATCATATGAAGAGTTCATATAAACTCGTGACAAAGTTCTAAGATTAAAAAAAATAAGTTTGCAAGAGATGAATGGTTACTTCACAACATATTACATACAGTACTAAAATAAACATTCCTACTAATAAAATGAATGTGAATTTTAAAATATGAGTTGACATTTCTAATTTATAAAATGAATAAGTTCTAAAATTAAAAAAAGTGTATACTCAAAGTTGAGGTAAAATGCTGTATTTCATTTTTACTTAACATTTTTAACCAGTTATTTAGTTCATTCAAAATTATTTTATCATTAGCTGTTTAGTTCAGCTGTTTAGAAACCAATCTCAGAAATAAAATGAATGTAAGTAAGATAAATGTTTATTCCTCTCTCATATAGAATAAGTCCTGAGGCAGTAATTCAAGGGAAGGTGCGGTAACTGTAGCTAGGTATCTAAGCACCGTCTCATTTTTGCTTCATTATCCTAGTACTCGAATTCTATCCTCAGAATTACCTCATTGTATAAGATGGCTACTGGAGCTCTAGCTACCACCTCTATTGTCCATGCAGCAGGAAAGATAATTCTAGGAAGTTCAACAGGGAAATATGCCAACCTGGCCATCTTCCTTTAGGGAGAGTCCCTGAAAATCCTGCATAATACTAATTGGCCAGGATTTAACTTCACATCTACCAGTATCTATGCATAGTTTTCATGGGAGGCTAAAAGAAGTCATCCTCAAGATGCGTTTTTGCTACATCAGTTAAAATACAAATCATGCCCTTAAAAGGGGAAAGAATGGATAGTTGGTGGAAACTGTTAGTCCGCCATGATTGTTTAGTATTATTGGGTATCTGTGTCAGGTACCAAGCAATGTACTAGGTTCTGGCCCGTTAATGTAAAAGCATAGTCCCTAGCCTCAAATAGTGTAGAGACTAGTTGGGAGAGAGTTATTTAAACATGCATGGTTTATAGAAAAATACAAAATATTTATTGATGGCTATTAAAATGTTTACATACTTTGACATATTAATTTTCTTCCACAAGTGAATCAAAAGGAAATAATTCAAATGGGAAAATGCATAAACAAGTTTATTGCCAGATTGTTTATGATAATAAAATATTGCCTATAACTTAGACAAACTCAACAGGAAGGTAAATTTTGGCAAATCTACTTAAACATTAGGTAACTTTTAAAATTCTTTAAAACCTTTATTGTGTATGTATGAATCCATGGATTTGAAAAATATTTCCAGAAATATGTGACAGGCATAAGATTAATATGTGACCTTCATATTGTTACCTAGAAAAGTAAAATATTAATTGCTTCTATATTTCCATGTATTCATCCAAAAATTGTGTATATATGACCAAGGACTGTAAACCATCATGAGAAAAAAAACAGTTATATTTATTGTGGTGAAAGTGATTTGAGTGAGTTTTTAATTTTACTTATACTTCTGTTGCTCTTAGGCTAACATCAGTTTATAGTTTGGAATTCAACATAAACATTTCTAAAGATGGAAGTTGAATGCACAGAATGGGAATGCCATCTCCTCGGCTAACCTTACGTTTCCCTGTCTCCCTCATTTTGTCTTCTTAATTTCCACTTTGTTATGCATGTCTATCATTCCATCTCTTTACTGTTAGAGCCTGCTTCTGACTGAGATTTCCATTTTGTCTTATCTGATCATTGAGGTACCTTACCAATAGTCTTAGCTATATTAGCTAATTCTAATTTCCTAATTATGACCTCAACTGCTTTGTAGACTTGGAAAAGCCTTTTTCCTCTTTTCGGGTGAATGTACATTTGGCATTCACGGGACCCTCCTCTCTTCCTCTCTCTACAAGCAGAAGTCATGTGTCCATTTGGAGCATATGGTTCTATACTCTCCTGTTTTATAGCCTTTATCGTATTTGAGTTGTTTATTACCATATGCCTCCAACCCAGGAGCTGAATAAGAGTATCTTTTGACCTTGGGTACCCCAGCATCCAGCAGGAAACTGGCACATTTTAGAAACACAATAAACGTTGATGAAGTTCTTGATGGACTTACTTTGATCCAGGATGACAAGCAAAATTTTCTAATCACCGCAGGCATGAAAGAAGGTTGATTATAATTTGGGATACTATAAAAAGAGTCAAGCACTTGGAAGAAAGGAATACTTCTTCCTGTTTTTTTTTTTTTTTGCCCCGTAAAATGCGTAACCTCTTTTCATTTTACATTATAATCAATAACAAAATTGTGGTCAACATTAGCTGAAGATATGATTATTTGTAAATGATTATTTTATAAAAATTAGTACTGTCTAGCTTGTTTATTAGAATGCTACAAACATATCTAGATGATTATGTGTATAAATGAGGACCTTGCATGAACGATCCAGAAAAATCTTATGACTTCTTTTGAGATAATTAATTGTTCAGGTATTGCTTTTCAAAAAATAATACACGGATCATGTTTTGTTTGATTTTTAAGTATATTTCTATCTACAACAGAGTTACCTCTTTCAATTATCGCATAGCATAGGTTAAGTAATAAATAGCAACTTAGATACTATAGCCATTGAGCCACAATTTCTAAATACCTGGTATGCATGCTTCCAAGGAATGTTTAGTAAGAGAAGATGTAAAATCAGAACTTTAAGATGTCAGTCGGCCAGGTGCAGTGGCTCACGCCTTTAATCCCAGCACTTTGGGAGGCCAAGGTGGGCGGCTCACGAGGTCAGGAGACTGAGACCATCCTAGCCAACATGGTGAAACCCCATCTCCATTAAAATACAAAACAAATTAGCCAGGCATGGTGGCGTGCGCCTGTAGTCCCAGCTACTGGGGAGGCTGAGGCAGGGCAATTGCTTGAACCCGAAAGGCAGAGGTTGCAGTGAGCCAAGATTGCACCACTGCACTCCAGCCTGGGTGACAGAGCAAGACTCTGTTTCAAAGAAAAAGAAAAACATCAGTCAACAACTGCTCATTTGTCTATGAATTTATGCCTGCTTTTCTTAACATAATTTATATCTTTATCACTCTTTGGAGAAATAAGATAAGTTGATCACTCACTGTACAAACTATTTGTTTGGTCCTTAAGCAACATTTGATATTTATATCAAGTTAAAAGATTAGAGAGTTAACTCTAAGAGGAATTCTCCTCCTGCAAGTTGATAAGCACTTCCTCACTAGTTGCCCCCTCAAGATAATCAGAGTTGCTACAGTAAGAGTGTAGGAAAAAAGTGATCCCTGCTCTTCCCAGGGAAATGAGCTAGAGACCTCCCAGCAACCAGAATGTTGTTAGCAAGTGGGCCTGATTATTGTCATCCCTTTCATCCCATAATTTTAGATTAAAAATTGGCCTTTTCAGAGTCAGGTGCAGTGGCTCACACCTGTAATCCCAGCACTTTGGGAGCTCGAGGTAGGAGGATCGCTTGAGGCCAGGAGTTTGAGACCAGCCTGGGCAACATAGCAAGACCCCATTTCTACAAACAATTTTAAAAATTAGCCAGGTGGTGATGGCCCACACCTGTAGTCCCTGCTGCTCAGGAGGCTGAGGCAGGAGAATCATTTAAGCCCAGAAGTTACACACTGGAATGAACTATGATTGTGCTACTATACTCCAGCCTGGGCAACAGAGCTAGACCTAATCGGAAGGAAAGAAGGAAGGGAAAGGAAAGGAAAAAGGGAAGGGAGGGGAAGGAAAAAGGGAAGGGAAGGGAAGGGAAGGAAAGGGAAGGGAGAGAGAGAAAGGAAAGAAAGAAAGAGAGAAAGGAAGGGAGGGAGGGAGGGCGGGAAGAAGGAAGGAAGGAATTGTATTTTCAGAAAAGTTTCCATCTGTGCTTAGGAAGAGCAATGAAGAATTATGACCCATTTTTCAAGATGCCTCTGTATTATTAAAGATGTTCTGCTTATCCTGCAAACTCGATTTAACTGAGGCAGAAAGCAATTTTCTAAGATGTTTTAATTCTTTATTTACATTCACTTGGACCATTGGAATTGATTTGCACTGTTGTTGAAGTTCTAATCATATTCTATATTCATGTCTTCAGAATTTTAGAGGAATAAATATATTCACAGAAAACTTTATCCCATAATGTCTAATGTATTCTCTCCTTAGTAGGTTAATACAACCCAGTGTGGGTGTTAAAGAAACATTTCAAAGTTTATATTTCATTTTAAAAATAGAACCATTTTAAAGATTTGCACCATTCAAATGTTACTACGGTAAGGAAGTATTTGTGTGACAGCAGAAAGGGTGTCATGTTTACCATTAGAGGCAGGTTCAAAATCATTTTCAAGTTATTATGAGGGTTATTTCTGTCTTCAGCAATTTTGTAAGCATTAGGCATGTTTATTTGTTTTTGCTGTCACTATTCAGGGTCATTTTTATTATGAATTATGCAGTATCATTTCACAATGAATTGTACTAACAGCCTTTGAGAAGCTGCAAACTGTTTCTCCAAAATTCTGTTATAACTTGCTATAACTCTGTTAGCTTCAGTTCCTTGTATTTACAATGTGAGACAGTGTTAGTTGTGGCAAATCTACATTATGCAATCATTTTGGTTGGGGCTAGATTGTAAGCGGGTATCATCTTTATCAGGTTTCTCAAAAGAAAAAAGAAAAAGAACCCTGAGAATTAGCCTTGAAAATAGCCAAGGAAAATCTTCAATTGTCAATGTTCTTTAGAAGAAATGTGTTTTAAAATCTATTTTCATGATTGTTTATTGCTTCTCAATAAAGAAGGAGTACAAAAGAATCACAAATAGACCTCACATAGTTAGCGTAGCTCCTTATATTCTCATACAGGGCACAGCTCTTGATGGTATTTAAATGCGTCATTTTCATCACTTACCTGTTTTGCCCTTTTGAATTATTTCACAGTATTCTCTGCTTTGAAAAAGCCCATTCCCTCACGCATCAACCTCACCACCCCCTGCGTTACTGAAAATCTTACCTTAGGAAGCATGTTATCACACAGGTTATGCTGGTCTCAGATCAGTCTTTCTGAGTCCCCTCTGCAACTCCTGACCTGATGCAATCTCTTAGTTTTAAAAGAGTATTAATATAATTTTGAAAGGCTTACATTTCCAGGACTACTTTATTCATCTTGCAAGAAAACAGCTTTCAGCCATTTTCTTCAATCATCACATTACATAAGAAGTAGAAAGCAATTAGTATTGTTCTCATTTTATGATTGAAAAGGAAGGAATGTGTACGTGTGCATGTTGACATCAGTTTTACAAGTTCCAGTGACCAATCAATGATAGATTCCAGGGAAGAATTCACAGGTGTCTCTATGGCATTTCAAATGTGCCTCAAACTGTCCCTGCCTTTAATAAGCATCTTATTGGCATTCATTTGAATTCCAGGTGAGTTTGGACCTCACTTTCAATTCTATCTCATTATCTTTTTAGCCTGGCCTCACCCATAGCCAATAGCTGGCCTCTTACAAAACATAGCTATCTTCTGAGGGAAGCAAAGTGCCTCCACCAAATCCACAAACGTCTCTGTGTCTATTCTGTTCCCCTTACCCCAGGCGGTTCAGCCCCAAGGAAAGGAGTAGCACCATCTTTTGCTCTGAATCTCATTCCTTGTTGCCTTATCAGGAAGCTCAGTTCAGCTCCCAGCTCCTTCAACCTCGGTGTCTTCAATGCTTCTCTCTCATTCGTAACTCCCTCTCATCACCCTTTGAACATTCTGAAAACCAATTCTTAAATCTAGAGCAGTGCAGAAATATCTCACTTATATGTCACAGCAATACTAGGAATTAAGCAATGCAGGTTTTATGCATAAGGAACATAAAATTCACAGTAATTCGCCAAAGACTGCACAATTCCTAAACAACAGATGAGAGTAGAATTTAGATCTTCCTACCCCTTCTGCAATGTTACTTACAAATCAGTTTCTAGATGTTGGACTATTGTTTGTCACATTCTATAATAAACTGTGTTTCATGTATGGTAAAGCAGAAATATAAAACTACTATACAGGGCAAATTCACCGTTGAGACCTGTTGTAAGTAATGTGTTCCATGTTGCCTGGCCTTTACCCTAACAAAACTGGGGAAGAAAAGGAATGTGTAAATTTGCATTTCATTTACATTAAAAATAATAACTTTCTCAAGAACATTTTAGTAATGGAAATACTAATTTTTTTTTACCTCTTTATCTGCCTTTTTCTACTTGGTTTATTTCATTTTCAGGGCAAATCAAAATGGAATGATCCTTCTGTTTTCCTTTCTCCTAGTGACTACATTGCATTTAGTTTTTACAACTGTGAGGCTTCTTACATATAATTGAAAAACATACTATTTGGAAATATAATTTTCATTATTGATTGCATTATTATTTACTAATCCTTCTTTAAATTGTCTTCTCATTCTTTATTGCTCTCCCTAATTTCTTTTTCTTTCTTCCTTCTTTCTATTTCATAAAGTATGGTTTTTCCTCTTTTGATTTTTGCTCATGGAGTCTATCCAATCTAATTTTTTTTCTTGCAAGCTTGGTTACAATCTTCTGGGTTTTTTTTTTTTTTTTTTTTGTTTTTTTGGAGACAGAGTCTCACTCGGTTGCCCAGACTGGAGTACAGTGGCATGACCTCAGCTCACTGCAATCTCTGCCTCCCCGGGTCCAGTGATTCTCCTGCCTCAGCCTCTGGAGTAGCTGGGATTAAAGGCGCCGGCCACCACGCCCAGCTACTTTTTGTATATTTAGTAGAGATGAGGTTTTATCATGTTGGCCAGGCTGGTCTTGAACTCCTGACCTCAAGTGATCTGCCTGCCTCGGCATTCCAAAGTGTTGGGATTACAGGCATAAGTCACCACACCCGGCCTACAACCTTCTTGACTGGTCTACTGAGTTTAACTTTTTAAAAAAGTAGCACTAAAACTAATATATTATAAATGTAGTCTTTACCTGTTCTCTGTATCCTCTGTTGTATTAATTCCCTTTTTAGCAGTATCTTTGTCCCTTAAGGCTCTCTTTCTTGTGAAAATGAATTAGGAAAATGGTGGAAAATTACAGAATAAAATGGTTAGAGATGTTCTGTACAAAATAGGATTACAGATTCATAAAACATTATATATGGGAGGGACATTTAAAACCATGTGGTCTAAATTTCTCATGATTCGATGAGCCAAGATCCAGAGAGGCTAAATGATTCATCCAAGGTTACTGAGTGCCAGCTCTAAGTACCCAAATGGTGTAACTCCATGTTTAATACCATTTCCAGCACTCCAAGCATTCGAAGGGAATTTTTTATGAAAATAATAATTTATAAAATAGTGGCATTGATGCCAAGGAAAGCTTAGGGCTTATAGCAGATAGTAAATATTACCTCCGCAAAAAAGCAAGGCATATGATTATTGAATTATGATCACACTCAACTTGAATTATGATCTTTACTCAATTCAAAGTAGTAGAATTTTATATCCGTGATTTTAAATGTTGGGATTCAAATGGCTTTAACAACTTCAGCCAGTTTACCCCATGAAGTGCCAGGTCAGGTCAGGACAGGAGGCGTGTTGCCTCACAGTGCTTTACTAGCCTTGCTTGCCACAGAGACCTGGTTTCAGCTGTTCTAAGCACGATTCTCCTTCGTGGCCACTGACATCCACAGTGGCCTGGTTGCAACGCTAATGGCGGGTGGACACAGGGGATGTTTTCTGAAAGCTAAGGCGGATGTAACATTGGACTCAGCAAGGAAGTCGTTTCTGTTTTCATACCTGCTCTTGATCAACTCATCAAAACAGGGAAAAGTTGATGTAGAACACATTTCTGATCTTTGTGAAAACATAGGCATTTACCTCTGGCCAGTTGGGTTGAACTCTAACCTTAGAAACTACTGTATGAATGCAGTCAGGAAAAAAAAAAATCCAGAGACAACTCGTCTTTCTCAGTCATGGATAACAAAGGATTCTGGGCAGTTTATTCAGTTCTGTCAAAACGATCACTGAACTTCTAGCTTGCTCAGGCCTTCCATGCAGTCCTGAGGCTTCGGTCATCCATTCATTCTCACCCTCTCATCTATGCCTTTGGAAAGTGGAGCTCATCTGTTTGGGTTTTTCCTTTTTTTTTTTTTTTTCGCTCAACACTTCAAAAGTTTAACATGAATAAAGGAACAAGGAGTTGCCACTAATTATTTAGCTCAAATGAGGTGTCTAACCTAGTTGTTTTGCTGAATAATACTTAGACTTGATTGTAGTGACAAAATGTTTCTGGCAAGTAATTGCAATTTTAAAGATCATACATTTTAGCATTTATAATAATGGAGAAGAAATGCTGGTTTTTTTTTTTCCCCACACTTTGGGATCGTTCAAATGTGAACAGAATCGATTACATGCAAGATGTTCATAAAGTCCTCATACCACATAAAAAAACTTATTAGCTTTGAATGAAGGCCTAATAGAGGAAAACTGAAAGCACAACACAGAGCCATGTTGTGTTGCATTTTAATACTGGCATTGATCATTGATATTCTAAAAATAATCTTGTTCATGGTATGTTGTTTCAGGCTGGTATCATTGCTGGTCCTGCTTTGGTAGAAGCTTATTGTTAAAATATGTGAAGATGCTTATTAGATTGCTAATTATATGAAATTGACATATATATGTAACATACATATATATGTAATGTCAATTTAAAAACTACGCAAGTACAAAATTCAATACTATTGATTGCAGTTACACAAAAACAGTATGTTTAGGAAAATAAGCTATGACACTTAGTGCTTTGCAATAATTAATCCTAGCTTCAAATCAATCCACTTATAACTTACTTCCTCTTCCCCTTCAACCTCGTGGAGGGCAGAGAAACCCTCACAGAGTCTGTTTTCCATTTTCCAGTCCTCCGTTGCTTGTCTGCTTTCTTGGGTTACTAATCCTACATGCTTTTCCTCTCAATTTACATATTATATCCTCAATAATATAATCCCTTTGCTTCCCTTGTGTAGACTTCAAAATCCCTGGCACTAATTTGATAAAAAACTATCGATTTTCCCACTAATATTTGTCGAGTGCAGATTGCAGTGTATACATTAAGTCCATTATTAACTCATTTAATCCTCCCAACAACGATATGAAGTTGATGCCATGAGACTGACAGTATTCTAGTAGATCACACCTACGTAGGAGAGGCAAAACTTCACCTTTACCCTGAGAGTTTGTCAGCTGGGCCTGAGAATTAAATTGACATCAGACAGACAGGAGAGAAACATACACGTTTATTTGATACAAGTTTTCCATGGCATATAAGCCTTCATAAGCCTTCATAATGAAGACCCAAAGATGCAGTTAGATTGAACACTTATATACTGAACTGGACAAAGATGAGTAAATTATGAAAATATGAGAAGGCAAAGGGACTTGGGCCAGGGGAGTTCATTGGTGGAGAAATCGCCAGGAGGACGGGGGTTAGTGTCTCTCTAGTTTGTACAGACTTCTCTTGGCCTAAACCATTCATCCTTGATGATACAAATGATACTTTCCTTCTAGCGTAAGGACATGTTTCACATGACAATTTCATTTTCTGTTTTTAAGAAACAGAAGGAGGGTCAGAGCGATCTTCTTGCACATGCTATTTTTTCAAGTGCCTTTAACTCAAAGTAATCATTATACCACAATGACATATTTGGGTGTGGACTGTTCTGAACTTCTTCACTGGTCCTCTGAGACCACAGCAAATATTCTAACACCATCTTCTCACAATGCAGATTCAAGGAGCTCACCCTTCCACTCAACAACTTGGCCTGGTATTATAGGCAGCTCCCAGGTGATGAGTCGATTACCCTCTACTACAAACCTTGCCCATACAAGCTACCTTGGCAGTTCCCTCCCCCCATGAAGTTGGAAACATAAGAGATTTAAGAGATTCCTAAATCCTTACTGGTGCTCACAACTGCACGAAGGCTGTAAGGTCCCCGCACCCCCCCACCCCCACCAGATATCAAAGATGTTTATTGGCTTATGACTAACTCACTGACTCTCAGGGCAGATGCAAGATGGAAAGCCAGCCCATAACTACATTCCCAGGGCACTACATAACAGCAACACATTTGTTCATGGCACCATTTATTTGTTGTATCGAAGACACCTGCATGTTTTAATTCCTTTCCTAGGATGTGGTATGGAATAAAAACCTGTTTGCACTAGTCTCAGGAGTCCAAATCATTTTCTTCTAATCTAGGATTTCGAGTGTCCTGCAGGTAGGTTTTTGAGATAACAAAGATGACAGACAAATCCTTCATCTAAATTTCAGAGTATTTCGATCTCAGAAGGCAATTTAAAATGTGGATAAAGGGGTCTCTAAGCTAGAACAAGCAAGACAAAAAGGGAAGCATGAAGGCAGATGTGGACACTGAAACATAAAAGCCAGTGCTGAAGCAGCAGATTGGCGATATGTAGGAACCAGTTCTTGGCATCTTATGTGACTAGTGTTTCTGTCTCTGGACAAATATCACATGCGGGCATACCTTGTGTTTTTGCATTTTGCTTTATTGTGACTCACAGATACTGTGGGTTTTTTTATTTTTTTATTTTATTTATTTATTTTACTTATTCATTTTTTTACAAATTGGAGGTTTGTGGGAAACCCGCATCGAACAAGTTCATTTTTCTAACAGCATGTGTTTACGTTTTGTCTCTGTGTCATATTTTGGTCATTCTCACAATAGCACAATTTTTTCATATTCTTATTATCTGTAATGGTGATCTGTGATGAGGGATCTCCAATATCACTATTGTAATTATTTTGTGCCCACGTGGACTGCCCCCACATAAGATGGTGAACTTAATGGATAAATACTATATGGGTGTTCTCTCTGCTCCACTAGCCATTTCCCCATCTCTATATCTCTCCTTGGGCCTCCTTGATCACTGAGACCCAACAATATTGAAATTAGGCCAGTCAGTAACTCTACAGTGGCCCCTAAGTGTTTAAATGAAGGAAAGAGTTACACGTCTCTCACTTTAAATCAAAAGCTAGAAACGATTAAGCTTGCTGAAGAAGGCATGTTGAAAGCTGGGACAGGTCAATACACAGGCCTCTTGTACCAAATAGTTTGCCAAGCTGTGAATGCAAAGGAAAAGTTCTCGAAAGAAACTAAAAGTGCTACTCAGTGAAAATACAAGTGATGAAAACAGCCTTATATGCTGATAAAGTTTGAGGGGTCTGGATAGAAGATCAAACCAGCCACAACATTTCCTTAAACGAAAGCCTAACCCAGGGCAAGAATTAAAGAGAGAATTAACTCTCTTTAATTCTATGAAAGCTAAGATTGGTAAGGAAGCTGAAGAAGAAAACTTGGAGGCTAGCAATTTCATGTTTACTTCATGAGGTTTAAGGAAAAAAGTCATCTCCCTTCATAATATAAAAGTTCAAGGTGAAGTAGACAGTGATGATGAAGAAGCTACAAGAAGTTATCAGGAAGATCTAGCTAAGATCATTGATGAGGTTGGTTATACTAAACAACAGATTTTCAGTGTAGACAAAATAGCCCTGTATTAGAAGAAGATGCCATTTAGGTCTTTCATAGCTCCAGAAGAGACATCAATGCCTACCTTCAATGATATGAGCTTCAAAAGACAGGTTAACTATCTCATCAGGGGCTACTGCAGCTGGTGACTTTAAGTTAAAACCAGTACTCTGTTATCATTTCAAAAATCCTAGGGCCCTTAAGAATTATGCAAAATCTACCCTGCTCGTGCTCTAGAAATTGAACAATAAAGCAGTATGACAGTACACCAGTTTATACCAGGTTTACTGAATATTTTAAGCCCAGAGTTGAGACCCACTACCTAGGCAAAAAGATTCCTTTCACACTATTACTGCTCATTGACAATGCACTTTGTAACCCAAGAGCTCTGATGGAGATGTACAAGGAGATTAATGTTGTTTTCATGCCTGCAAACAACATCCATTCTGCAATCCATGAAACTTGACTTTCAAGTCTTATTATTTAAGAAATACATTTAATAAGGCTATGCCTGTCAGAGGGAGCTATTTCTCTGATGGATCTGAGTAATGTAAATTGAAAACCTTCTGCAAAGGATTCACCATTCTAGAGTCAGTTAAGACATTCGTGATTCATAGAAGGAGATCAAAATATCAACATTAACAGGGGTTTGGAAGAGATTGATTTTGACCCTCATGGATGACTTTGAGGGTTCAAAAGGGCTCCCCTGCTCTCTTCTCTAACCCACGGGGTCACTTTGAAGGCTAACTGATATTTATGTATTCTACACCAATTCCAAGATGTCCACATATGCACGAATAGATAGACAATGGACAACTATGCTAAGAACTGGCTATGGAAGTATGTATACATTAATGCTTTTTAATCTTTCCAAAACCTAGTTTAGAACTCCGAGGCTAAAAGAACAGTGTTGATCTAATGAACTAATGGATTATTG